>NC_000012.12:112308612-112460128 GCF_000001405.40 Homo sapiens | reverse complement strand
TAAAAATACAAAAACTAGCCAGGTGAGGTGGTGGGCACCTGTAGTCCCAGCTACTCAGGAGGCTGAGGCAAGAGAATCAGTTGAGCCCAGGAGGTGGAGGTTGCAGTGAGCTGAGAATGCACCATTGCACTCCAGCCTGGGCAACAGAGTGAGATCCATCTAAAAAGAAAAAAACACAAATTGCAAGTGTGTGTGTGTGTGTGTGTGTGTGTGTGTGTGTAGCAATCAGGAAAATGTGACTGATATGTGTTAATATTAAGGAAATACTGTTAATAGTTTTAGATATGATAATGCTATTCAGGTTATAATTTTTTGAAATAAAATAGTTACAGACGAAATGATGTGTTAAGATTTGCTTCAAGGCCGGGAGCAGTGGCTCACACCTACAATCCCAGCACTTTCGGAGGCCAAGTCAGGCGGATCACCTGAGGTCAGGAGTTTGAGACCAGCGTGGCCAACATAGTGAAAACCCTGTCCCTACTAAAAATACAAAAATTAGCTGGGCATGGTGGTACACACCTGTAATCCCAGTTACTCAGGAGGCTGAGGCACAAGAATCACTTGAACCCAGGAGGCGGAGGTTGTAGTGAGCCAAGATCAAGCCACAGCACTCCAGCTTGGGGGACAGAGTGAGACTCCATCTCAAAAACAAAAAACAAAACAAAACAAAACTCTATCTCAAAAAAAAAAAAAAAGTATTTGCTTCAAGACAAGTCAGGGCTGGGGAAGTGAGTGGGGCAGAGTCGAAAAAGATTGGCCATATTATCAACAGTTGTTAATGCTGGGTGTCAGGTATACTGCTATAACTATCCCATTCTCTCTACTTTTGCATATAATAGAAATTTTCCACACTAAAAAGTTTTGGAACAATCGGCTTTCCATTCAATTTTGATGAGCGGTTTCTAAAACTTCTGTATCTTCCCATCTTACCTCATGAGGCTTTATGAAGGTGAAATGAAGTGAAAGTAATGAAATGAATGACTGCTGAAATGCTGCCTTTTATTATTTAGGCAGGCAGGGGACAAGGAAGGCAACAGTGAGGCTGAGATTTCAAAATTCTGTCTCACTATGTTTATCATCAATTTTTTTTTTTTTTGGGACAGGTTCTGGCTCTGTTGCTCAGGCTGGAGAGCAGTGACGTGATCTCAGCTCACTGCAGCCTCAATCTCCCAGGCTCGAGCAATCCTCCCACCTCAACCCCCAGAGTAGCTGGGACTGTGGGTGCGCACCCCCACACCCAGCTACTTTTTGTATTTTTTGTAGAGACGGGGTTTTACCATGTTGCCCAGCCTGGTCTCAAACTCCTGGAATCAAGTGAGCTGCCTGCCTCACCCTCTAAAAGTGCTGAGATTACAGGAGTAGCCACTACGCCCCAGCCTATCATCACTTTTTCACTGATGCTTTTCATCACTGTTTTCCTTCTCTCAACTAAAAGCTCCCTTTAAAGGCAGTAACCCTGTCTGTCTTGTTCACTAGTGTCTTCAGAGCCTAACGCGAAGCCTGGGATGAGAGAATAAACTCAAATTCAAGTCTCTGTTCAGTAATGTTGAGCAAGGACTGAGAATGTTCTATTCCACACTCCTCCCCACTGCTGGAATTCAATCAATATCTGTGGTATGGGCCGGGCACAGTGGCTCACACCTGTAATCCCAACACTTTGAGAGGCCAAGACAGGAGAATTGTTTGAGCTCAGAAGTTCAAGACCAACCTGAGTAACACAGTGAGACCCCATATCTACAAAAAATGAAAAATTAGCCGGCTATGGTGGTGCACACCTGTAGTACCAGCTACTCAGGAGGCTGAGGTGGGAGGATGGCGTGAGCCCAGAAGTTGGACGCTGCAGTGAGCTATGATTGCACCACTGTACTCCAGTATGGCAGCAAAGTGAGACTCTGTCTCAGGAGGAAAAAAAACAAAACAAAACAAAACAAAAACTGTGGTATGAAGATTGAATAATTTACTTAACCTCCCTTAGGCCCCTCAGCTGGAAAATGGGAAATCATATCTATCTCAGCAAGTTGTTCAGACATACTCTGGCTAAAAGGACTTTATTTGCCCAGTATTCACTTATTCATTCAATCCACAAATATTTATAAATTGTAGTCCTCAAAAAGCATAGAATAATCATTCCCATAAAACAGAACAGGAAAATAAAATGATGTAAACATGAGTTAAATGTAAATCTCATTCAACAAACATTTATGGAGTTTCTTCTGTGTACTAGGCACCGTGCTACATGCTGGGGACAACTGCAAAGGTAAATATGCCAGAATCCTTGTTTTTGAAGTTTTCTGTCAAATGGATGAGGAGAAAATGAAAGAGATCACATTGTCAATGGGTAAGTGATATAGAAGAGTGCAATGGGAACACAGCACATTCCCATCAGGGACATTCTCCAACCCAAGTTAGTTTCAGGAAAGAGATCAGTTCACTTAAAGTCAGGAAACAACAGATGCTGGAGAAGATGTGGAGAAATAGGAATGCTTTTACACTGTTGGTGGGAGTGTAAATTAGTTGAACCATTGTGGAAGACAGTGTGGTGACTCCTCAAGGATCTAGAACCAGAAATACCATTTGACCCAGCAATCCCATTACTGGGTATATACCCAAAGGATTATAAAACATTCTACTATAAAGACATATGCACACATATGTTTATTGCAGCACTATTTACAATAGCAAAGACTTGGAACCAACCCAAATGCCCATCAATGATAGACCGGATAAAGAAAATGTGGCACATACACACCATGGAATACTATGCAGCCATAAAAAAAGAATGAGTTCATGTCCTTTGCAGGGTCATGGATGAAGCTGGAAACCATCATTCTCAGCAAACTAACACAGGAACAGAAAACCAAACAATGAGAACACATGGACACAGGGAGGGGAACATCACACACACTGTCTGGGGATGGGGGCAAACTCCTGGATTCAAGTGGTCCACCTGCCTCACCCTCTCAAAGTGCTGAGATTACAGGAGTGAGCCACCACGCCCAGCCTATCATCACTTTTTCACTGATGCATTAAAGGGGAGGGAGAGCATTAGGACAAACACCTAATGCATGCAGGACTTAAAACCTAAATGATGGGTTAATGTGTGCAGCAAACCATGATGGCACATGTATACCTATGTACAAACCTGCACGTTCTGCACATATATCCCAGAACTTAAAGTATAATCAACAAAAATAATTTAAAAAAAAAAGAAATCAGTTCACTTAACTTACCAGAGTTATCAATTTGAACTCTGAAATTAAAGCCACCACATTTGGCACGTCAAAGCTGGAGGATCACTTGAGCCCAAGAGTTCAAGACCAGCCTGGGCAACACTGCAAAACCCCATCTCTACAAAAAAATACAAAAATTAGATGGGCATGGTATCGTGTGCCTGTAGTCCCAGCTACTCGGGAAGCTTAAGTAGGAGGATCACTTGAGCCCAAGAGTTCAAGACCAGCCTGGGCAACACTGCAAAACCTCATCTCTACCAAAAATACAAAAATTAGCCAGGCATAGGGGCATGTGCCTGTAGTCCCAGCTACTCAGTAGGCTGAGATGGGAAGATCACTTGAGCCCAGGGAGGACGGGGCTGCAGTAAACCGAGATCACGCCACTACACTCCAGCTTCGGCGACAGAGCGAGACCCTGTCTCAAAAAAAAAAAAAAAAAAGCCACCACAAGGTGTTTCTCTTTTACTCATACTCATTTGCTGCACTAAGGCTATAGATTGTTTCTAAAGACCCCAGTGCATGCTGGAAATCTTTCGAAGAAATTAGATCCTTTTGTTTCTCTGAGATTTTGCCACCAGTCCAAACCAAAAGAGCCAAATGGAGCGGCTAGCACATCCATTGACTACTCACTGCCAACTCCCTTCCCTCAGAACACAATGCTCTTCTGTTTCGAAGAAGCCCTCTCAGCAACTTGCTCCGTGTCAATCAATGGCCGAATTAAAAAAGGACGTCAGTTTCAAGTCTCTCAGGTCCAATTCCAAACACAAGAGCAACTTCTCCTCCACTAAAAATAGGATATAACAACTCACGTAAAAACAGTTTTTTAATAACTTACCTCAAATTCTTCCCAAAAGCCTTGTTTGACTTTATCTGTGGTCTCAGCTAATTTGCTTAGTTCTCGAACTCTGCTTTCTATTTCAGCAGCATTTATACGAGTCGTGTTAAGGGGCTGATCGAGTACAGCAGTTGATGTAAAATAAAGAAAATATTACAGAAAACGGTGTTAATGCAAAAAAAAAAAAAAAAACATGTCTATGTTGATATTCATAAAGGCACGGACAGAGGGTTCATAGGACCCTGTAATTCACAATAAAAGTTTTCAAATCGTTTCACCGTGTTTTCTGTTCAGCCAGAAAATGTATCTTTCTTCAGTCTTCACATACACTTTACTCTGCTGATATAAATTCAAGCCTATTTTTCTTTATGAATAGACCACATTATTTAGAGAGATTATATCATTTTCCACTATCATAAAGGTGAAATTTGAAATAGCAACAATGCCAAAGTGAATAAGTGAGGTTACCTAAAGGTAACCAGAAGTGGATCTATAATGAAAACTTGCTTTAAAACTCTGTACAGCCTTAGGCCAGATGCAGTGGCTCATGCCTATAATCCCAGCACTTTGAGAGGCTGAGGCAGGCAGATCACTTGAGGTCAGGAGTTCAAGACCAGCCTGGCTAACATGGTGAAACCCCATCTCTACTAAAAATACAAAAATTAGCTGGGTGTAGTGGCACCACCTATAATCCCAGCTACTCAGGAGGCTGAGGCAGGAGAAGCTCTTGAACCCGGGACGCAGAGGTTGCAGTGAGCCAAGAACACGCCACTGCACTCCAGCCTGGGCGACAGAGCAAAACTCCATCTCAAAAAAAAAAAAAAAAAAAAAGAACCTCTGTAATGCCTTTTACAGATAAATATGGGAATAATATAAATCTGGAATATGTTTCCAAGTACTATAGCGGCAGTCAGTGAGTGGAATCATAATAAGAAAAGATTTAGGGCCGGGCGTGGTAGCTCACGCCTGTAATCCCAAAACTTCGGGAGGCCAAGGCGGGCAGAAAACCTGAGGTCGGGAATTCAAGACCAGCCAGGCCAACATGGTGAAACCCCATCTCTATTAAAAACACAAAAACTAGCCGGGCATGGTGGTGGGCACCTGTAGTCCCAGCTACTCAGGAGGCTGAGGCAGGAGAATCGCTTGAACCCAGGAAGCAGAGGTTGTAGTGAGCCAAGATTGCAACACTGTACTCCAGACTGGGTGACAGAGTAAGACTGTCTCAAAAAAAAAAAAAAAAAAAAAGATTTGATAGTTGAAGCTGCAATGGGTACATGGAGGCTGATGATACTATTCTGTCTACCTCTGTATGTTTGCAAAATTCTCTATTAGGATTTGTTTTAAGTTTTTAAGGAGAAAGCTTGAGCTTTCCAATCTGCTCACCTGCTTGAGTTGTAGTACTGTACCCAATGTTTCCACCATAGGATTCTTCTTATAATGTTCCACAAGATCTGTCAAAGAATCAAACCGTTCTCCTCCACCAACGTCGTATTTCAGTTCCTTTCAAGATAAACACATGACATTTATTATTTGTTACCTTTATGTTACATTAGTGTTTTCAAGCACTCTCATGTTCACTGCAGCATTATTCACAATAGCTAGTATATAGAGACAACTTAAATGTCCATCAAAAGACAGATAATAGGCTGGGTGCAGTGGCTCACGCCAGTAATTCCAGCACTTTGGGAGGCCAAGGCGGGCAGATCATTTGAGGTCAGGAGTTCGAGACCAGCCTGGCCAACATGGTAAAACCCCATATCCACTAAAAATACAAAAATTAGCCAGGCTTGGTGGTGGACACCTGTAATCCCTGCTACTCAGGAGGGTGAGGCACGAGAATCACTTGAGCCCAAGAGGCAGAGGTTGCAGTGAGCCAACTGTGCTTCAGCCTGGGAGACAGAGGGAGACTCTGTCTCAAAAAAAAGATAAATAATAAAAATGTGGTGTGTGTATACAAATATACTAAAAGTGTAAATATACTCAATATACTCAAGTATGATAAGTATAATAATATATTAAATATGCTAATATACTAATACAGTAACTATACTAATATATTAAGTATAATAAAAGCATAGACGAACTTGACTAAGTAAGCAAAGAAAATCTGACTTTGGATCAGGCACAGTAGTTCACATCTGTAATCCTAACACTTTGAGAGGTTGAAGGAGGCAGGCCTCTTGAGCACTAGTTCAAGACCACACTGGGCAATGCGGCAAAACACCATCTCCACAAAAAATACAAACACTAGCTGGGCATGGTGGCACACACCTGTAGTCCCAGCTACTCAAGAGGCTGAGGGAAGATCAACTGAGCCCAGGGAGGTTGCACTCCAGCCTGCGTGACAGAGCAAGACCCAGTCTCAAATGAATAAACAAATGAATATTAAAAAAACAAAAACAAAAAAAAAAAAAAAACAGAAAATCTGACTTTGAATGTAATGGTGTTTGTCCTCTTCCAGCAGAAAAATCACCCAAAGATTTGGGTCACCAGACCCAACGTGGTGAAACCCCATCTGTAGGTGATAGAGCAAGACCCTGTCTCAAATAAATAAATAAATAAATAAATAAATAAAAGACAATCTGACTTTGAATGTAATGGTGTCTGTCTTCTGTCAGCAGAAAAATCACCCAAAGGTAACATCTTGCCAGACCCATTTTTCAACTGGAGATTTACCTGACAGCGAATCATAACATGGGTCACTTTAGACTTGCCGTCATTGCTCTCCCCTTTGTCATCACCAGTGCGCACAGAAAGAACAAAATCTCCAGGGTGGCTCTGGCTCTCTCGTACAAGAAAACTACCATGTTTTCCTTTTTCAGTTAATAATTTCTCTGCTTCTTTCCCAGAGAGATGTCCATGAAACCACCTAAAGTTTTTAAAAAATAAAAAAGAATTTAGCTCTACTATGGGTTCATGTTGTTCTTTCACAAAACTACTGTATACAGTCAGCTCTCCTAAACACAATTAAAAAGTAGACACATTCCTCCAAGGGATTGATCAATCCCACCTGAGACAGAAAATCTGCATCCCATGCAGGCAGGAAAAACCACAAAGATGGTAAGAATGACCACTAAACTTCTTAAATGAGTCCACAGTCCTTTAGAGACAAATGCCCCAATCTTTCCTGTTTTTTTTTAAATCCCTCCTCTTTTAAAAATGCAATTTGCCATTCGTCCATTGCCCAATCTTAAAAGGACCAACTGTTTAATTATAGCCATTTAAAGAAGTTACAGGCCATGCATAGTGGCTTATGCCTGTAATCCCAACACTTTGGAAGGCCAAGGCAGGAAGATCACTTGAGGCCAGGAGTTCAAGACCAGTCTGGGCAACACAGTGAAATCCCCATCTTCACAAAACAATTAAAAATTAGCCTGGCATGGTGGCAACTGCCTGTAATCCCAGCTATACACAAGGCCGAGGCAGGAGGATCACTTGAGTCCAGGAGGTCGAGGCTGCAGTGCGCTATGATCATGCCACCGCACTCCAGCTTGGGTGACAGAGCAAGACCCTGTCTCAAGAAAAAAAAATAAAAGTCGGCCGGACGTGGTGGCTCATGCCTGTAATCCCAACACTTTGGGAGGCCGAGGCAGGTGGATCACCTGAGGTCAAGAATTCGAGACCAGCCTGACCAACATGGTGAAACCCTGTCTCTGCTAAAAATACAAAATTGGCCGGGTGTGGTGGCAAGTGCCTGTAATCCCAGCTACTCAGGAGGCTGAGGCAGGAGAATCACTTGAACCTGGGAGGCGGAGGTTGCAGTGAGCTGAGATCGCACCATTGCACTCCAGCCTGGGTGACGAGCGAAACTCCATCTCAAAAAAAATAAATAAATAATTTGTAAAAATAAAGTCAAAATAAAGAAGTTGTAATAAAAAGTTGTAATAGAGACAGGCACGGTGGCTCACGCCTATAATCCCAGCACTTTGAGAGGTCAAGGTGGGCGGATCACCTGAGTTCAGGAGTTTGAGACCAGCCTGGCAAACATGACAAAACCCTGTCTCTACTAAAAATACAAAAATTAACTGGGCATGGTGGCACATGCCTGTAGTCCCAGCTACTCGGGAGGCTGAGGCAAGAGAATTACTTGAATCTGGGAGGCGGAGGTTGTAGTGAGCCGAGATCGCGTCACTTGACTCCAGCCTGGGTGACAGAGTGAGACTCCATCTCAAATAAATAAATTAAAAAAAAGAAAGAAAAAGTTGTAACAGAGACAGAAAATCATTTTGAATGTTTGTCCTTGCCTTGGCATGTGAACACTCAATTAAAAAGGATCTTCATTATAAATTAATTCAAACATTCCAACCTTTTCCATATATACAACCTATACTTCAACAGCCTCCAGTGTCTTTGGACTATATCCTGGGTGATCATCTCAAACTGTATAATGCACATAAGACTTGGAGTAAAAATGAGGGATTTTGCTAAAAATATGAATTCCCAGGCTCCACAACCAGCAATATCAATACATGTAAGTCTGAATGAGGCCCAGGAATCTGCATTTTAACCAGCACATCAGACAGTCCTGATGTAGGCATCCAAAGCCATCCAAGGACAGACTTTGAGACAATACTGCTCCATGTTTTTTGGGAAGCATCTTAACATAGTTCTAATAATAAAGTGGCTTTTTCCCTCAGGATCTTGGTCAGAAAGCAAGTACTATCATGGCAGGTGGTGTTAAGGGCTCATCATCAAAAGAATAAACTTTGAGTTATTCTTCATCCATACTCAACTGAAAACAGTAAAATTTAGAAATAAACTGTACAGAGTTGGCTGACAGCCTTTTGCCTGAAGCTACGGTGGTAGCTAGAGAAACAAATTATCAGCACATAATAGCACTGACATAAAGGTATAAGCTGAAAAAATCATACCTGAAGACACAAAATATACAAACTAACTAAGAGATCCTGAATTTGCACCAAGTCAGAGAGGAGATTGGGAATGTACAAAACGAATACAATCAATAAATAAGTCAAGCCCATGCTTTCATCAGCCTAGTTCCAACACAGGGGGAAAGATCTCGAAAATAACATAATTTTCTCTAAGCAAGGTCATTCTCACATAATTGTGGTGATAACATTAAAAGAACTGATGAAAAAGCTGACCCTCTGAGCTCTCTGCTTTTCCACTTCTGAGCTTAAACTGACATCTGTTGGTGACATTGCTGAATAACTGGTCGAGAGCCACCATAGAAAACTGCTGCTATTTTGGTGTCTCCATTATCATTTGTTTTCCTCTAATAACTCTCAAAGATTATCTGCTGAAGTTCAATAAGTCTTAAAACTAATACACGTACCAAGTATATGCAGGAATGGTATGCAACCCCTATAGGATGAGTGTAAGTAACACTGATTAAAACTTTTGCAGGAAAAAGGTACTCTGAAAATAATTTGATGCTATTAGTCTCACTTTAGTAATTCTTTAAAGATTACAGCTCAAAAAACAGTCACAAGCCTTTGGAGTCAGAGAGTCATACACAGACCGTCATGCATTTCTGACACTCAGGGCACAAGGGAGCAGCAGACTTTGTGGTCACTAAAATGTTACTGACCTTTCAGAGGTAGGATCTGCACAGTTCAGAGGATATTTAAGCTCAATGACATCTCCATTCTTCTCTTTTAATTGCCCGTGATGTTCCATGTAATACTGGACCAACTCAGCCAAAGTGGCAAATTTCTCCCCTCCATACAGGTCATAGTAATCACCAGTGTTCTGAATCTTGATGTGGGTGACAGCTCCATTTCTTCTAAAATAGTCCATTGGAAAGGGAGGCAAGGGGACAAATAAAGAGTTACACCAGTAAAATCAGATCTCATCTTCCACGTCGGATTTTACCTAAGTGTTGAAAGAAACCCAAGGAACGAATTTACCTATTCCCTATAAGAAATACGATGGGTGAAATAACCACATGTCAACCAACTCAACACAAAGGTCTTTATTAGTATCTTTACCTTGCATATCTTTTTTTTTTTTTTTTGAGATGGAGTTTCGCTCTTATTGCCCAGGCTGGAGTGCAATGACGTGATCTCGGTTCACCGCAACCTTCGCGGTGGATTTACATACATTATAAATCCAGGTTCAAGTGATTCTCCTACCTCAGCCTCCCAAGAAGCTGGGATTACAGGAATGCGCCACCACGCTCAGCTACTTTTGTATTTTTAGTAGAGATGAGGTTTCTCCATGTTGGTCAGGCTGGTCTGAAACTCCTAACCACAGGTGATCCACCCACCTCGGCCTCCCAAAGTGCTGAGATTACAGGCGTGAGCCACCACGCCCGGCCTACCTTGTATATCTTCTATTTTGAATGACTGGCCTATCGAATTGCATATATTAAGTGACAATAACTGTATAGCTACCAAAACACTTGTACAAAAATATTCATTGCCACTTTATTCATAATAGAAAAACATTTTGTTTTTTAATCATAAAAATGTATAAACAAATAGTGCTACATTACTATTCATACAATGGAATACTATGCATTATAAAAATTGTTGTGTTACTACTCATACAATGGAATACTATGCAGCAATTTTTTTGTTTGTTTGTTTGTTTTTGAGACAGAGTCTCACTCCATCACCCAGGCTGGAGTGCAGTGGTGCAATCTTGGCTCACTGCAAGCTCCACGTCCCGGGTTCACACCATTCTCCTGCCTCAACCTCCCAAGTAGCTGGGACTACAGGCGCCCGCCACGACGCCCAGCTAAATTTTTTTGTATTTTTAGTAGAGACGGGGTTTCACCATGTTAGCCAGGATGGTATTGGTCTCCTGACCTCATGATCCGCCGCCTGCCTTGGCCTCCCAAAGTGCTGGGATTACAGGCGTGAGCCACTGTGCCCGGCCACTATGCAGCAATTAAGAAAAAAAAAAAAGTGATGGCCAGGCATGGTGGCTCACGTCTGTAATCCCAGCACTTTGGGAGGCTGAGGTGGGAGGATCACCTGAGGTCAGCAGACCGATACCAGCCTGGCCAACATGGTGAAACCCCGTCCCTACTAAAAATACAAAAATTAGCTGGGCGTGGTGGCAGGCACCTGTAATCTCACCTACTGGGGAGGCTGAGGCAGGAGAATCGCTTGAACCCGGGAGGCGGAAGTTGCAGTCGGCCGAGATCTCACCACTGCACTCCAGCCTGGGCAACAAGAGTGAAACTCCCACTCAAAAAAAATAAAAATAAAAATAAAAAGACACATGTAATTTTAAAGACACATGTAATGACACAGTTTCCAATACGAGGTAGTGTTATCCCAAAGCACAAAACAATATATGCAAAAGGTTACTATATTCATTGAGGCATTATATATCATTTTAAAATATTAGACACAACTAAATCGCTACCTGCTGGTGACAGTATATAGAAGTTATAAAATATTCACATGATAGAATGCGATCCAGCTGATTAAAAAGATGAGAGAGATCACTAAAAGATTTAGGTAACTGAAAAAAATTACAGAGAAATATATTTAATGTTCTACTTGATGTGTAAAAATAAAAGGAAAATAGTAATAAAAATATTAATTTGCTTATTTTTATAAAAAGAAACATAGGGCCAGGCATGGTGGCTCATGCCTATAATCCCAGCACTTTGGGAGGCTGAGACAGGCAGATCCCTTGAGGCCAAGAGTTGGAGATTAGCCTGGACAACATGGTGAAACCCCATCTCTACTAAAAATACACAAATTAGCTGGGTGTGGTAGTGTACACCAGGCGCTGTAATCCCAACTACTTAGGTGGCTGAGTCATGAAAATCACTTGAACCCAGGAGGTGGAGGTTGCGGTGAGCCAAGATCACACCACTGCACTCCAGTCTGGGCAACAGAGCAAGATTGTCTCAAAAAAAAAAAAGAAAAAAAGAAAAAGAATGAAAGAAACACAGAAGGGTAAACAAGAAATTAATAGAAATGGCTACCTACAGAATGGAGATAGTGTGCAAGGGAGTAGGAGTAAGAATGAGATTTCTCAGGCCAGGCGCGATAGCTCATGCCTGTAACCCCAGCACTTTGGGAAGCCAAGGCAGATGGATCACTTTAAGTCAGGAGTTCAGGACCAGCCTGGCCAACATGGTAAAACCTAGTCTCTACAAAAAATACAAAAATTAACTTGGCATGGTGGTACATGTCTGTAATCCCAGCTACTCAGGAGGCTGAGGCAGGAGAACTGCTTGAACTCAGGAGGCAGAGGTTGCAGTGAGCCAAGATTGTGGCCACTGCACTCCAGCCTGGGAAAAAGAGCAAGACTTTGTCTCAAAAAAAAAAAAAAAAAAAGGCCAGGCATGGTAGCTCATGCCTGTAATTCCAGCACTTTGGGAGGCCAAGGCAGGCAGATCACCTGAGGTCAGGAGTTTGAGACCAGCCTGGTCGACATGGTGAAACCCCATCTCTACTAAAAATACAAAAATTAGCTGGGCATGGTGGCATGCACCTGTAATCCCAGCCACTCCGGAGGCTGAGACAGGAGAATAGCTTGAACCCAGGAGGCTGAGGTTGCAGTGAGCTGAGATCACGCCATTGCACTTCAGCCTGGGCAATAAGACTGAAACTCCATCTCAAAAAAAAAAAATAGATCGTTATCAATCAGCATGGAGCTCAAAAAAAAATTTTTAAGTTGCAAAATGATACATACATTATAAATCCATGTATGTGAATTTTTTAAACACACAAACCAACTTTATATTGTTCATACACAGTACAAGTGCAGTACAACTATAAAAACACGTTCAGGAAGAATATATGCCAACCTCTTGGTGGTTTCCTCTGGGGAAAGAGGGAGGGAAACGGGCCTGGGCAGGGAAGCAAAGGGGACCACAACTTCCTCAGTCATGTTTTACTTGTTGATAAAGGAAAGTGATCTGAAGAAACTCTTAACAAGTATTTTTCTTATTAAGAAGTCAACAAAGTCTGAGTGTGGTGGCTCATGCCTGTAATCCCAACACTTTGGGAGGCTGAGGCAGGAGGATCACTTGAGGCTAAGAGTTAAAGATCAGCCTTGGTAATACAGTGAGACCTCATCTCTACAAAAAATATTTTTTAAAAATGCTGAGCATGGTGGCACAAGCCTGGAGTCCCAGCTACCCGGGAGGCTGAGGCGGGAGGATCACTTAAGCCCAGGAGTTCAAGGCTGCTGTAAGCTGTGATCGTACCACTGCACTCCAGCCTGGGCAACAGAGCAACAGCTTGTCTCAAAAAAAGAAGGCCAGGCATAGTGGCTCACGCCTGTAATCCTAACACTTTGGGAGGCCGAGGCAGGATTGCTTGAGGCCAGAAGTTCAAGGCCAACCTGGCCAACATTGGAAGATCCCACCTCTATTTAAAAAAAAAAAAAAATTGAAAAGAAATAAAATTTTTAAATAAATCAACAGGAAGGAAAAGAAAAATGCAGAAACCAGGTTCAAGATGTGTGGAACAAGTCTCAAGCACTGGAGGGCTTAAGAACTTCTATGACCTGCTCCAACTCACCTTCCATGAGGTCTCAGAGGGAGAAGAAGGGCCCTCCTTACTCCTCTTCTGCTAAATGTCCAGGAGGCCACTCCCCAAACCCTGAAGGCAGCCCAGGGCTCAGATAAGGCCTTCAAACTCGAAATGCAGGCAGCAAGCTATCCAAGCATGGTTTTACCACTTCCTACCTAGAAAACACTCTCAGGATCCTCTCTTTTCATTCCAACTTACCTAACGGAAAGTGTGAAGTCTCCAGGGTTACTTTTACTAGGCCTTGCCAAAAAACTGCCATCAACTCCTCTTGTCAACAGTAGGTTTTCTGCCTCCACACCAGTGATATTTGGGTGAAACCATCTTAAAAAGAAAGACAAAGTAAGTAATAAAAAAACAAGACACTGTCAGCACTACTTTCCACAACAACACAGCTAAGACGCATTATGAGCAGAGTAGAAAATTTTAGAAAATACAAATCAAGACCTTCCCTGTCCCTTCCCCCTCTTCTCCTTGGTCAATGCCTCCTCCCTGCCTTTCCCTTGGTAGAGACCTGGGATTCAGTAGGGGTGTCTGGGGATATGATCAGAGGGACTGGGGGCTAGGGTATTAAGACAGTGCACTGAGGGGGCCAGGCCCAAGAAAACAGACCACGTGCTCGCAAGACTGAGCACATGGAATAAAAATAAATAAACTAGAGGCAGGGCACGGTGGCTCACGCCTGTAATCCCAGGACTTTGGGAGGCCGAGGCAGGCAGATCAGCTGGGGTCGGGAGTTCCAGAGCAGCCTGACCAACATGGAGAAACCCATCTCTACTAAAAATACGAAATTAGCTGGGCATGGTGGTGCATGCCTGTAATCCCAGCTACTTGAGAAGCTGAGGCAGGAGAATCGCTTGAACCCAGGAGGCAGAGGTTGCGGTGAGCCAAGATCACACCACTGCACTCCAGCTTGGGCAACAAGAGCGAAACTCAATCTCAGAAAAAAAAAAAAAAAAAGAATAAGTTTCTTAATAAATAAGTTACCATGTTGAGGATAGCAAGCCAGGTTTCTCACTGTTGGGGAGACACAAATATGAGAAGGGAGAAAGCCAGAATAAATCCCATGATGTTAGATTGTAATTGGAGGTATTAGTGCAAACTGTAATTTTTAATATATACATGTAAAGACAGAAATGTAGATATAGAAATAGATATGTATGCTTCTGGATGGGAACAGTGGCTCACGCCTATAATCCCAGCACTTTGGGAGGCCGAGGCGGGCAGATCACTTGACGTCAGGAGTTCAAGACCATCCTGGCCAATGTGGTGAAACCCCATCTCTACTAAAAATACAAAAATTAGGTGGGCGTGGTGGTGGACACCTGTAATCCCAGCTACTCAGGAGGCTGAGACAGGAGAATTGCTTGAATCCAGGAGGCAGAGGTTGCAGTGAGCCATGATCGTGCCACTGTACTCCAGCCTGGGCGACAGAGCAAGACTCCATCTCAAAAAAATAATAATAATACAGAAATACATGCTTCGGGGTATGTGTATGTGTATGTGCTTTTATGAATACACACACACACACACATATATATATACACACACACACACATTTCCTAGGTCTCTTCTGAAAGGGTTTGGAAGCAATGACACTCCAGTAGCAATCACACCTAACACCTCTATCTTGGTTTCTACATATTGGGTTTTCCATTCTCCAATGAAAGGAACTGGCCTCCTTGAAGAAATGGCTGATCCCAGCGTTGGGGCAGTAAAAGTAAGAAGATGAACTTGGAACATCCTATTGTGGGCCAGTAAGAGTTCCAACAAGGAGCTATGAAAAGGACACAGGAGACAAACTGCAGGATCCTCTGCTGGCCAAAGTAGGGACAATTTGTACCTCAAAATAAACAATGATAGTAACAGATTATAACCCACTGAATAAAACAGGAAATAGTTCATTCTCTTAGTTTCCTATTTTTTTAACTAATTGTTTGTTTAAAAATTGAAACATGGAGGCCAGGTGCGGTGGCTCACACCTGTAATCCCAGAATTTTGGGAGGCTGAGGCAGGCAGATCACCTGAGGTCGGGAGTTCGGGAGCAGCCTGACCAACATGGAGAAACCCATCTCTACTAAAAATACAAAATTAGTTGGGCGTGGTGGCGCGTGCCTGTAATCCCAGCTACTTGAGAGGCTGAGGCAGGAGAATCGCTTGAACCCGGGAGGCGGAGGTTGCAGTGAGCCAAGATCGTGCCACTACACTCCAGCCTGGGTGACAGAGTGAGACCTTGTCTCAAAAAAGAAAAAAAAAAAACTTGGAAGTACCATATGATCCAGAAATTCCACTTCCAGGTATATACTCAAAGTAATTGAAAACACGGATTCAAATTGGTATTTTTCTATAACTCATATTCACAGCAGCATTATTTGCAAAGCCAAAAGGTGAAAGAAAACAGTGTCTATAGATGGATGAATAGACAAACATTCTAAGTGAACTAAGCCAGTCACTAAAGGACAATGCTATAGTTTGAATGCCGCTCCCCTGAGGTTGAAACTTAATCCTCAGCCAGGCACAGTGGTTCACGCCTATAATCCCAGCACTTTAGGGGGCTGTGATGGGAAGATCACTTGAGCCCAGGAGTTCAAGACCAGCCTGGGCAATATAGTGAAACCCCATCTCTACAAAAAATGCAAAAATTAGGGCCAGGCGCAGTGGCTTACACCTGTAATCCTAGCATTTTGGGAGGCCAAGGCAGGTGGATCACTTGAGCCCAGGAGTTCAAGACCAGCTTGGGCAACATGGCGAAACCCAGTCTCTACAAAAAAATATAAAAATTAGCCATGCATGGTGGTGTGTGCCTATAGTCCCAGCTACTAAGGAGGCTGAGGTGGGAGGATCGCCTGAGCCCAGGAGGTCCAGGTTGCAGTGAGCCAAGATCATACCACTGCACTCCAGGCCAGGCAACAGAATAAGACCCTGTCTCAAAAAAAAAAAAAAAAAGACCGGGCACAGTGGCTCACACCTGTAATCCCAACAGTTTGGGAGGCCAAGGCGGGCGGATCATGAGGTCAGGAGTTCGAGACTAGTCTGACCAACATGGCAAAACCCCGTCTCACAAAATTCCAAAATTAGCTGGGCAAGGTGGCGCAGGCCTGCAATCCCAGTTACTCGGGAGGCTGAGGCAGGAGAATCGCTTGAACCCGGGAGACGGAGGTTGCAGTGAGCCAAGATCGCATCATTATACTCCAGCCTGGGCAACATAAGCAAAATTCCATCTCCAAAAAAAAAAAAAAAGATACAACCATGAAGAGGAGTTTGGCGGGATGCAAAGAAATATCCTAATTAAAGGCCAGTAACAAGACTTAGCAAGTAACACAATGCATTAATGCATAACCTGGACATATAATGGACCAAAACAAACAAAATAAAAGGGAACAGTTTTTGTTGTTGTTTTGTCTTTTGCTATAAGGATATTACTAAAACAATTTGAAAGAGATATAAGGATTTGATGGTAGTCTTGTTATAATATACATTTGGTGATATACTGTGGTTATGTAACCAAGTGTCCTTGTATTTAAGAAATACACACTGAAGTATTTTGGAGCAATGAGACGCCATGTCTGCAACTTACCCTCAAGTGGTTCCAACAAAACTTAAATATAGAGACACATATATGTACACATGTATATATACATGTGTATTTTATATGTAGATATGTATTTTATATATAAAATACATACATATACATACATATATGTGTAGTGTATATATAATTTATATATATATATATATATATATATATATATATATATATATATATATAAAAAGAGAGAGAGAGAGAGGAGAGAGAGTAAACATGGTACAGGTTGAGTATCCCAAATCTAAAATGCTGCAAAATCCATGGCCAGGCGCGGTGGTTCACTCCTGTAATCCCAGCACTTTGGGAGGCGGAGGCAGGTGGACCACCTGAGGTCAGGAGTTCGAGACCAGCCTGGCCAACACGGTGAAACCCTGTCTCTACTAAAAATACAAAAATTAGCCGGCCGTGGTGGCAAGCGCCTATAGTCCCAACTACTCAGGGGGCTGAGGCAGGAGAATCACTTGAACCCAGAAGGTGAAGTTTGCAATAAGCCAAGATCGCTCACTGCACTCCAGCCTGGGTGATGGAGCAATACTCCATCTCAAAAAATAAATTAATTAAATAAATTTAAAAAGTGCCCACATAACACTCAAAGGAAATGCTCATCATAGCATTTCAGATATTTCAGATTTGAGATTTGGGGATTAGAGATGCTTAAGTATATAATAAAAATATTCCAAAATTCGAAAAAATCTGAAATCCAAAACACTTCTGGTCCCAAGCATTTTGGATAAGGGATACTCAACCTGTATAAGGTTGACTTGTAAATCTGGATGAAAAGTTAACACGAATTATTTGTACTATTTTGCAACTCTTATTTAAATTTGAAATTATTTCAAAATAAAATGTTTTTTAAAACCCATAAATGATGAAATCCATCATGAATGGCATCTGCTTCAGAGGAGTCCTCTCTAGTTACCAGCAAAAAGATATTCTTGGGCAGGCGCGGTGGCTCACGCCTGTAATCCCAGCACTTTGGGAGGCCGAGGCGGGCGGATCACAAGGTCAGGAGATCGAGACCATCCTGGCTAACACAGTGAAACCCCCTCTCTACTAAAAATGCAAAAAAATTAGCCAGGCGTGGTGGCATGTGCCTGTAATCCCAGCTACTCGGGAGGCTGAGGCAGGAGAATGGCGTGAACCCAGTAGGCGGAGCTTGCAGTGAGCCCAGATCACCACTGCACTCCAGCCTGGGCGACAGAGTGAGACTCCGTCTCAAAAAAAAAAAAAAGATATTCTTCATGGATTTCAAAAGTCATTGAGATTCATGGTAACAGTAACTTCTAAAGTCAAATTATCCTGGACCTTTCTAAGCTAATAGAATGCTCTGAAATGCTCCCAGGAATATGTCAATATTAAATGTAGAGTTCTAGTACTGACAATCAAGTGAACTTTTAAGAGACTTCTCCACAAATATTGACCCAATTCAAGTATCTTACAACAGTGAAGGAGACCAGGCACAGTGGCTCACACCTGTAATCCCAGCACTTTGGGAGGCCAAGGTGGGAGGATCACCTGAGGTCAGGAGTTCAAGACCAGCCTGGGCAAAATGGCAAAACCCTGTCTCTACAAAAAAATACGAACATTAGCCAGGTGTGGTGGCATATGCCTGTAGTCCCAGCTACTCAGGAGGCTAAGGTGGGAGGATTGCTTGAGTCTGGGAGGCAGAGAATGCAGTGAGCAGAGATCGCACCACTGCACTCCAGCCTAGGCAATCGAGCAAGACCTCTTCTCAGATTTAAAAAAAAAAGGCTGGGCAAGGTGGCTCATGCTTGTAATCCCAGCACTTTGGGAGGCCGAGGCAGGTGGATCACCTGAGGTCGGGAGCTTAAGACCAGCCTGACCAACATGGAGAAACCCTGTCCCTACTAAAAATACAAAATCAGCCGGGCATGGTGGCGCATGCCTGTAATCCCAGTTACTCAGGAGGCTGAGGCAGAAGAATCGCTTGAACCCGGGAAGCGGAGGGTGCGGTGAGCCAAGATCGCCACCACTGCACTCTAGCCTGGGCAACAACGCAAAACTCCATCTCAAAAAAAAAAAAAAAAGAAAAGAAAAGAAAAATCGTAAAGCTCAGATCAAAATAATGAAATATTCATTTGCTTTTTACTCTCTCTGAGAGCTTGTCAGAAGATTGAGTCTGGGCCCGGTGACTCATGCCTATAATCCCAGCACTTTGGGAAGAGCTGAGGCAGGAGGATTACCTGAGGTCAGGAGTTTGAGGCCAGCCTGGGCAACATGGCAAAACCTCATCTGTACTAAAAATACAAAAATTAGCCAGGCATGGTGGCACACATCTGTAATCTCAGATACTCGGGAGGCTGAGGCAGGAGAATCACTTGAACCCGGGAGGCGGAGGTTGCAATAAGCTGAGATCATGCCACTGCGCTCCAGCCTAGGCAACAAAGCGAGACTCTGTCTTAAAAAAAAAAAAAAAAAAAAAAAAAAAAGGCCAGGCACAGTGGCTCACGCCTGTAATCCCGGCACTTTGGGAGGCCGAGGCAGGCGGATCACGAGGTCAGGAGATTGAGACCATCCTGGGAAACCCCGTCTCTACTAAAAATACAAAAAAATTAGCTGGGTGTTGTGGCAGGCCCCTGTAATCCCAGCTACTCGGGAGGCTGAGGCAGGAAAATGGCATGAACCCAGGAGGTGGAGCTTGCAGTGAGCCGAGATCATGCCACTGCACTCCAGCCTGGGCGACAGAGCAAGATTCCGTCTCAAAAAAAAAGGAAAATTGAGACAGAATAGAATTTCACCCGGGAAAACGTCAACCTCAATTTATGTGATACCTATTATTCTAGCATCCAATACTTTTGCATTCAGAATGGTTAAACTATTCCGTTAAGAAAAAAAATCCTTCCTTGCAGCTTCTTTCATCTGTGGTTCCAGATGAAAGATGCCCAGAATTCTAAGGAATCAAAAAGTAATGACAACTGGCTTCTAGCTATTTATAGTTTTTCAAAAAGGTATAATGAAACTCTTACATTAGGCCTCAATTTGTCTACCTACATAAGCTAATTAAAATGTCAACTCTCTTTTGCTTTTGGCTGCAAAACAATTATGTTAATTGGGTGTGGCAACTGGAAACTGAGTGGCATATGTGCCTTCTACCAAGAGGAAAAAAATGGAAAAACTAATTATTATATAACACAGGTGTGGAGACCAAATCTTTCAGAATATTGGGTTTATGGTTTGGGTTTTTTTTTTTGTTTTTGTTTTTTTTTTTAAAAAAGGACAATCCAGCCATGCATGGTGGCTCACACCTGTAATCCCAGCACTTTGGAAGGCCAAGGCAGGTAGATCACCTGAGGTCAGGAGTTCGAGACCAGCCTGGCCAACATAGTGAAACCCCGTCTCTACTAAAAATACAAAAAATTAGCCAAGTATGGTGGTGCGCGCCTATAGTCCCAGCTACTCCGGAGGCTGAGGCAGGAGAATCACCTGAACCCAGGAGACGAAGGTTACAGAGAGCCGAGATCACAGCACTGCACTCCAGCCTGAACAAAAGAGCGAGACTCCGTCTCAAATAATAATAATAATAATACAAAAATTAGCTGGGCATGGTGGCTGGCAACTGTAATCCCAGCTACTTGGGAGGCTGAGGCATGAGAATCACTTGAACCCCAGAGGCAGAGGTTACAGTGAGCTGAAATCACACCACTCCACTCCAGCCTCGGCAAAAGAGGGAGACTCTGTCTCAAAAATATAATAAAATAAGAATAAATTTTTTAAAAAGTTTAAAAAAAAGGGCAATCCCCTCCCCAAATGACAGGCTGAGAATCACTAACACATGGTGGCAAAGCCTTAGGGGTAGCCACATAGACTCTGGTGCCAGATTGTCTTGGTCTGAAGCCCAGCTCTCTGTGACCCTGGGCTACATATTTAACCTCTCTGTTAAGTCCTATAAAATGGAAGGTGTAACAGTACCCATGTCATAGTGTTGTTGAGAGGATAAAATGAGTTAATATTTATAAAGTATCTAGAAGAGTGCCTGGACTTTCAGGTAGCCAAGGACAACGATGATTGCCTAAATCCATCTCTCCCCATACATCCTTCAAAAACAACATAGAATTAAAAACAAAACAAGCCAGGCACAATGGTTCATGCCTGTAAATCCCAGTGTTTTGGCAGGCTAGGGTGGGAGGATTGCTTAAGGCCAGGTGTTCAAGACCAGCCTGGGCAACATAGCAAGATCCCATCTCTACAAAAAAATTAAAAATTAGCCAGGGACCAGGCACAGTGGCTCAAGCCTGTAATCCCAGCACTTTGGGAGGCCAAGGTGGGTGGATCACTTGAGGTCAAGAGTTTGAGACCAGCCTAGCCAACATGGTGAAACCCTGTTTCTACTAAAAAATACAAAAATTAGCCGGGTATGGTGGCATGCACCTGCAGTCTCAGCTACTCGGGAGGCTGAGGTGAGAGAATCGCTTGAACCCGGGAGGCAGAGGTTGCAGTGAGCCGAGATTGCACCACTACACTCCAATCTGGGGGACAGAGCAAGACTTCGTCTCAAAAAAAAAAAAATTAGGTATGGTGGTGTGCTCCTGTAGTCCCAGCTACTCAGGAGGCTGAGGTGGGAGGTTCATCTAAGCCCAGCAGCTTGAGGATGCAGTAAGCTATGATCAAGACGCCACTGCACTCCAGCCAGGGCAAGAGTGGGACCCTGTCTCTAAGAAACACACACAAGAAAACAATAAACAAATAAAATGACATGAAAACCACACCCTCAACTTAAAGAGAATGCCCAAACTTCCAGATTACCTGTAAGCAAAAAAAAGAAAATATACCAAACGTCAGTGAGTGACTGCTCAACCTCCTACTCCAAGCCTTTGTGCAAAAGAAGAGCATTCTGAGAAAAACAGCATGGTGTAGAGAACAGGGTAGCTAGTGGCAGGCCTAAAATTGCTCTAAAACCACCCCCAGAAACAGAAAGTCCACCCGAAGTGTGAAAATACTTCAGGTACATCAGAGTCCTGTTTATGGAAAGGGGCATGATTCCAGGGGGAAAGACTAAAAAGTTGTGGAAATAAGTCAGAAAACCTAGAACAAACGTGTAATTTTTCAGGGAAATGCAGTCTACAAAAATTAACCCATTAGAGTAAGAAAACTTAGGCAGACCAACTTGTATTAAAAAAAATAGAGGGAGCCTCTCTGAACCTATTCTGGTTCAGAGGCTACCTGATTAAAAATAAGAAAAAATAGGGAAAACAATTAAGGAACTACCGCACAGAAAATCACCAGGCCCAGATGGATTCCCAATGGACTTCTACCAAACCTTCAAAGACCAAATAGTCTCAATTCTTAAAATCATTCCTGAGTACTAAAAAGAAAGGAAAACTTCCAACTTCCTTTTACAAACTAAATATAACACTGATACCTATACCAATAAAGATGGCACAAGAAAAACAACAGAGACCAATGGTACTCATGAATATTGATGCAGAACTTCTAAACAAAATATAAAAGAATCCAATACCACATTTAGAAAATAATGCACCGTAACAAAGTAGTTAGAACCATACATCATATCACATATCAGAATAAATTTTAGGCCGGGCACGGTGGCTCATGCCTGTAATCCCAGCACTTTGGGAGGCCAAGGCGGGTGGATCACTTAAGGTCAGGAGTTCGAGACCAGCCTGGCCAACAGCAAAACCCCATCTGTACTAAAAAAAAAATACAAAAATTAGCCAGGCGCGGTGGCAGGTGCCTGTAATCCCAGCTACTTGGGAGGCCGAGGCAGCAGAATCGCTTGAACCCGGGAGGCGGGAGGCAGAGGCTGCAGTGAGCCAAGATCATTCCACTGCACTCCAGCCTGAGTGACACAGTGAGACCCTGTCTCAAAAAAATAAAATAAAATAAATAATAAACGTAAAAGATGAAACAATGCAATACTAGAGGAAAACATGGGTGAATGTCTTGTTAACCTTAGAATAAGGAAAGGCTTTCTATGACTCAAAATCCAGGGGCAATAAAAAAAAGATTGATAAATCTGGGATAATTTTAACATCACCTTTCATCAACAATTCAATTGCTTTTTAAGAAAAATTCATTAAATGGTAAAATTTATTACCATTTTTACCATTTATTACCATTTATTACCATAAATTTAATTATTCATTAAATGGTAAAAAACCTCAAGGACTGAAGTCAGTTCTAACTTGCAATTTGAGGGTCTTTAAATCAATCATTCTTTGGAAACCAAGAAACTTAAATTCAACTCCATTCAGAGGCGGACAACTTACAACCCACAGTCCCTCCCACTGAGTTCAGTGCTATTCTCAGCCAAAAAAAAAAAAAAGCCTTCATTTCTATTATAAAAGCAATGAAATGCCAAGGCTCAGAAAAACAGACATACTATTAAATCTGGATGCATATTTTGCTCTTCTAGCACTTACTCATGTTTTTCAACCCAAAAGACTAACACCCATGTAAGGGGAGAAGTATCAGGAAAATGCTTCTGAAAAACATATTTTAAAAATCTGATTTGAAGCATCTCTTGGTTATTGAAGCAACCTACAGAGCCAAACCACTGTCTCAAATCCCAGAATGCCACATCTCCTGGGCAAGCTAATTAATCTCTCTGCTTCGGTTTTTACATCTGTAAAATGTGGATAATAATAGTGTTTACCTCATAGGAAATGAGAATTAATGAATTAATGCACATAAAAGAACTATAAAGCATATAAAGCATTTAAAACTATTAAAGCTTGTTTGCTTGTTGTTACCTTAATGAATACATAAAACAATTATTGACTATAATATCTCTACCATAGATTATGTTTCATTAATATGCAATTACTCTAGTATTAACTAACTTATTATTTAATAATCTTTATCTTGAATGCTACTTAGCCCGATATTGGTACCACCTGAATCTCTTTTGCCCATGTTTGTTTTATTTATTCTTTGACATTCTGTGCCAATTTGTCTTTTTAAAGCAGAACACAACTGAATTTTTTTTTCTTTTTTCAAAATATTTTTATAAAATAGAGATGGGGTCCCACTATGTTGTTCAGGCTGGTCTCAAACTCCTGGACTCAAGTGATCCTCCCACCTCAGCCTCCCAAAGTGCTGGGATTACAGGTGTGAGCCACCATGCCCGGCCTGGATTTTTTCTTTTAATTCCATCTGGCTCAGCCATTATTGAAGGACTTAATCCATTATCACTGACAGCTCATGTTTGGTATCATATCTGCTGATTGTTTCCTACTTTCAATTTTTTTTCTGTCTTTTGCCACTTAGTGACTTCAGTGACTGTCTACTTCAGGCAGACACCTATTTCTTACTCAAATAGAATTCTAATCATTTTTAAATTATACTGGTAGTCATATTGTAGTATTTAAAAAAAAAAAAAAAAAAACCTTAATCCTACAGTCCCAGGTTATTGAAGGGAAAATAACTTTTGCCTCTCTTAGATGGAAAGTGAAGAATTTCTGGCTGTTGTTTTACTAGTCTCCATTAAATGAAATACAGCAGGCTCAGCGGTTGCTTCATTTTAAACACCAGTTAGACAGCCTAGACCCCCACAATCTACCTGCTTATCTGTTCCCTGACTGTCACCACTGTCATCTCTTCTTTTTTTAAAATAGATTCTAAAAGAATTTCTCACACTTGTCCTTGACCTCACCCCTGTGATGGCAGCCTCAAACATAGTATTATTAACTGCTTTTATGCAGATCTTTGTACAGGGCAGGGCAAGGTGGCTCACACCTGTAATCGCAGCACTTTGGGAGGCTGAGGTGGGAGGATTGCTTGAGACCAGGAGTTCAAGATCAGCCTGGGCAACGTAGGGAAACCCCATCTCTACAAAAAATTAAAAAATTGGTGGGGCATTGATGGCACACACCTGTAGTCCCAGTTACTTGGGAAGCTAAGACGGAAAGATTGCCTGAGCCTGGGACGTCGGGGTTGCAGTGAGCTGCGATTGTGCCACTGAGCTCCAGCCTGGGCAACAGCACTTTCGGAGGCCAAGGCGGGCAGAGCACTTGAGGCCAGGAGTTCCAGACCAGCCTGGGCAACATGATGAAACCCCATCTCTACTAAAAATACAAAAATTAACTGGGCATGGTGGTGCGTGCCTGTAGTCTCAGCTACTTGGGAGGCTGAGGCACAAGAATCACTTGAACCTGGGAGGTGAAGGTTGCAGTGGGTCAAGATTGCACCACTGCACCCCAGCCTGGGCAACAGAGTAAGACTCTGTCTCAAAAAAAACAAACAAACCCACAACCTTGTATATATACATATATACACTGACACGTATGTTCATGTGCATATACACACTACTCCCTCTGAGCCTGTGTGAAACACACTCGACACACACACAAATGGGATTCTCTTGTTTTACACCCTGATTTTTTCACATACTACAACTTGAAGATCTTTCTCTCTTTTTTTTTTTTTTGAGACGGAGTCTTGCTCTGTCGCCAGGCTGGAATGCAGTGGCGTGATCTCGGCTCACTGCAACCTCTGCCACCTGGGTTCAAGTGATTCTCCTGCCTCAGCCTCCCGAGTAGCAGAGACTACAGGTGCACGCCACCATGCCCAGCTAATTTTTGTATTTTTAGTAGAGACCGGGTTTCACCATGTTGGCCAGGATGGTCTTGATCTCTTGATCTTGTGACCTGCCCGCCTCAGCCTCCTGAAGTGTTGGGATTACAGGTGTGAGCCACTGCGCCCAGCCAAAGATCTTTATCAGTACTTTGCTGGGTTTTTTTGGTTGTTGTTTTTAGAGACAGGGTCTCACTCTGTTGCGCAGGTTGGAGTGCAGAGGTGTGATCATGGCTCACTGCAGCCTCAACCTCCCAGGCTCAAGCAATCCTCCCACCTCAGCCTCCTGAGTAGCTGGGACTACAGGAATGCACCACTATGCCCAACTAATTTTTTTTATTTTTTGTAGAAATGGAGTCTTGCTATCTTGCTCTGCCTGGTCTCAAACTCCTGGCCTCAGCCTCCCAAAGTGCAGGGATTACAAGTGTGAGCCACCACACCTGGCCCACATCTAGGACTTCTTGACATTTTACAGGAGGTTTTGTTTTTGTTTTTGTTTTTTTGAGATAGGGTCCCACTCTATCTCCCAGCCTGGAGTGCAGTGGCACAATCATGGCTCACTACAGCCTCAACCTGCCAGGCACAAGCGATCCCTCCAATCTCAGCCTCCTCAGTAGCTGGGACCATGAAGGTGTCCAATACCAAACCTGGCTAATTGTTTTATTTTTCCTTTGTAGAGATAGGGTCTTGCTATGTTGCCCAGGCTGGCCCCAAGCTCCTGGCTTCAAGCAATCCTCCTTCTTTGGCCACCCAAAGTGTTGAGATTATAGGCATGAGCCACTGCGCCCAGCCAGTACCCTTTTATTCAATGGCTACATAATACCCCATTGTATGAATGTGCCATCCATAATCTAACCCTTCTTATAGGACATTTATGTTATCCTCTGGTTTTTTGTTATTACAAATAATGCAGCAGAACATATCCTTTACAATCATTTTTACATACTTTTACAAATAAATCTGTAAAATTAAAGTTTTAGAAATAAAATGGCTTTGTCAAGATACGGTCATGCATTGCTTAACAACAGGAATATGTTCTGAGAAATGCATCATTAGGCGATTTCGTCACTGTGGTAACATCATGGAGCGTACTTACACAAACCTAGATGGCAGAGCCTACTACACACCTGGGCTATATGGTATAACCTATTGCTCCTAGGCTACACACCTGTACAGCATGCTACTGTACTGAATACTGTAAGTAACTGTAACACAATGGTATTTGTGTATCTAAACACATCCATACATAGAAAAGGTACAGTTTAAATACAATATAAAAGATTAAAAATGGTGGCCAGGTGCCTGTAAATGGTGGCTAATGCCTGTAATCCCAGCACTTTGGGAGGCTGAGGCAGGCGGATCACTTGAGGTCAGGAGTTCAAGACCAGCCTGGCCAACATGGTGAAACCCCATCTCTACTAAATATATAAAAATTAGCCAGATATGGTGTCCTGCGCCTGCAGTCCCAGCTACTCAGGAAGCTGAGGCAGGAGAATCGCTTGAACCCAGGAGGTGGAGGTTTCAGTAAGCCCAGATCACGCCACTACACATCAGCCTGGGTGACACAGCAAGACTCCATCTCAAAAAAAAAAAAAGTTAAAAATGGTATGTCTATACAGGACAGCTCCACCATAATCTTTTTTTTTTGAGATGGGGTCTTGCTATGTTGTCCCCACTAGTCTCAAACTCCTGAGTTCAAATGATTCTCCTGCCTTGGCCTACCAAAGTACTGGGATTACAGGTGTGAGCCACTGTGGCTGGGCCCATAATATTCTTTTTTTTTTTTTTTTTTGAGATGGAGTTTTGCCTTGTCATCTAGATGGGAGTGCAGTGGCCCAATCTCACCTCACTGCAACCTCCGCCTTCCGGGTTCAAGCGATTCTCCTGCCTCTGCCTCCTGAGTAGCTGGGATTACAGGCACCCGCCACCATGCCTGGCTAATTGTTTGTATGTTTTTAGCAGAGACAGGGTTTCACCATGTTGGCCAGGCTGGTCTCAAACTCCTGACCTCAGGCAATCCACCCACCTCGGCCTCCCAAAGTGCTGGGATTGCAGGTGAGAGCCACTGCACCCAGCCCATTATATTCTTATGGGACCACCATTATGTATGCCGTCCATCATCAACTGAACCATCATTATGTGGCAAATGACTATATATAATTTTTTTATTTTGACAAATATTGTCAAACCACCCTCAAAATAAGGTACTGGTTTGGACGGGCATAGAGTGTGAAATCCCCTGTTTTCCCTCACTTGTGCCAATACTACATACATTACCAAACTCTTTCATCTTTGTCTATCTGATTAATGGAAAATGGTACCATGTTAGTTTGCATTTCTTTGTGAGACTGAGCACTTTTTCATGTTTTCAGACCACTTGTGTTTCCTTTTCTATGAGTTGTCAGTTTGTCGTTGCTCATTTCCTATTAGATTTTTTTTCTTACTGATTTGTAGGAGCTCTTGATATAACCAGAAAATTACCCTTTACTGTATGTGTTGCAAATATTTGTCTCTGGTTTTTTTCCCCCCTTTTTAGTCTGTGGTATTTTTTTTCCTACAGAGGTTCATGTTGGCATTGTTAAATTTATCAGATTTTTCCATTATGATTTCTGGGTTTCTTGCCATGCTTAGAAACTGTCTTAATTCACAGCAATGTTGTGTGGTGGAAATTAATTAATACATGCAAAATGTTTAGCACAGAACGCCCTTGGAGTTTCACATTTGGAACTAGAAATTTAGATGTTATCCAGAAGAAAACGTTTAGAAAAAAGTCACAGATCTTAACAGGACCCTGTACGGCATGGCCCCTGGTTGACTCTGGTTCTCTGATCACGTCTCCGATTTCCTCCAGTTGGTACACGCAGCTTTTACATGTGCTTTTCCCTCTGGTGGTCCCACAGTCAGATCCCCCATCCTACCTTCTCAAAAAAAACCCTGCTTCTCAGGGGTGACACTCAACATGGCAATATAGCATCTAATCACACATTTCTACAGTCACCAGGTTGAAGGCTAGACTGGCAGTTCCATGAGGGTGAAGGACACATCTATTTCTTTTATTGTTTTTTAGAGATAGGGTCTCGCTCTGTCCCCCAGGCTGGAGTGCAGTGGTGTGATCATGGCTCACTGCAGCTCCAACTCCTGGGCTCAAGCAATCCTCCCACCTCAGCATCCCGAGTAGGAACATGTCTATTTCTTCACCACCGTATCTGCAGCCCCTAGCAAATGGTTAATACAGAGCAGTTCCTTACTAAACATTTGTGGCCAGAGGGAAGGAAGAGCAACCTTGGGGTAAGCCCCATCACTGCTCTCTCCTACATCCACACAGTTTCACATCTGTGACCCGGGTGGTGTCAACAGGAGGCTGTCAAGGATGACTCCAACTCCACGTACTCAAGAGGAAGAGGCAGAAGGCAGCTGACAAAGCCCTCTTCAAACTGGCCCCACCAGCAATTTATGTGGCAAAAAGATGGTCATTGTTTTTAATATACAGTCTCTTCTCACCCAATCGGTGGTACTGACAAGGATATTTTTCCCTATCTGTATGCTACTGTAGTCATTTTAATAAGAATTTGCAAAGTGAATGTCTAGGACACCTATGCATATGAGCCAAAAACTTGCTCCAAAGCCTCCCCGTGCATTTGGAAACACCAAATGTTGATATCTGAAACTAACTTGCAGTCTGGGTAACAAAGTAAGACCGCATCTCCACCAAAAAAAAAAAGAAAAAAAATTTTAATTAGCTGGGTGATGGCACATGCCTATAGTCATAGCTACTCTAAAGGCTGAAGCGAGGTCAAAGGTTTGAGACCAGCCTGGGCAACATAGTGAGACCTCATCTCTAGAAAAAAAAAAAAAAGTTTTGTAATTACCCAGGCATGGTGGCCCACACCTGTGGTCCCATCTACTCTAGAGGCTGAGACGGGAGGATTGCTTGAACCCAGGCATCTGAGGCTGCAGTGAGCCATGGTTGTGCCATTACACTCCAGCCTGGGTGACAGACCAAGACTCTGTCTCAAGATAAAAACAAAACAACAACAACAACAACAAACCTATATGAATCACAAAATTAAAAAGATGATTTATCCATACTTACATTGTTACAAACACTATTTTTCCACAATTATGAACTGGCTCTGATAATAAGAAAAAAGCAATATATGGCCAGGCGCTGTGGCTCACACCTGTAATCTCAGCACTTTGGGAGGCTGAGGCAGGCAGATCACCTGAGGCTGGGAGTTCAAGACCAGCCCCATCTCTACTAAAAATGCAAAAAATAGCCGAGTGTGGTGGCACACACCTGTAATCCCAGCTACTTGAGAGGCTGAGGCACAAGAATCACTTGAACTCAGGAGGCAGAGGTTGCAGTGAGCCGAGATGGTGCCACTGCACTCCAGCCTGGGCAACAGAGCAAGACTCTGTCTCAAAAAAGAAAAAAGAAAAATGTGATATGTTGGCTATTATACATTACAGCTGGTTAAAATTACAGCTATACTTACTGAATGTTTGCCACATGCCTGTGTGCAAAGCAGACTTGAGAAATCAAACTTTTCACCATTACATTCTGCTATTTAGTTCTAAAAATTTCTTTTTAATACCCTCATTCTTGCTGTCATCTCATATTTCTAAAAATTTCTTTTTTTGTTGTTGTTTTTTTTTTTGAGACGGAGTCCTGCTCTGTCACCCAGGCTGGAGTGCAGTGGCACAATCTCAGCTCACTGCAACCTCCACTCCCGGGTTCAAGCGATTCTCCTGCTTCAGCCTCCCACGTAGCTGGAATTACAGGTGTGTACCACCACACCCAGTTAATTTTTCTGTATTTTTAGTAGAGACAGGGTTTCACCATGTTGGCCAGGCTGGTCTCGAACTTCTGACCTCAAGTGATCTGTCCGCCTCAGCCTCCCAAAGTGCGGGGATTACAGGCGTGAGCCACTGCGCCTGGCCCACCCTGTCTCTTAAAAAAAAAAAAAAAAAAAAAAAAAGTAGTTTCAACTGCCAAAGGTGAAACTAGGTAAACACCACCTACATCCATCCAGATCAGCAACAGAAGATAAGGTAGGTGGTCTTCTCTTTTACCCTTTTATTACATAAACTGTATTATTTCATTTACAACTTACAATTATGCTATCCTGTTATTAAGAACAAACAGATGAGAATAGTATTTTCAGGGAAACTTAGTAACCAGTATTTAGCACAGAGGCTGGAGACAGTAAGGACTTAATAAACATTAGTTTTCACTATTATTAACATTATTATTATTGGTGGAGGTTATGCAGGATAGATACTTCTCATGCATAATTATGATAGTTTCACATAGGCAATTGTGACATGTATGTCATTTAAGCTAACACTGCTTCTTCATACACTTCTTCATGGCTCTGGAGCTGTCTCTACATTATTTCAAACAATAGTTAAGAGGCCGGACGCGGTGGCTCACGCCTGTAATCCCAGCACTTTGGGAGGCCGAGGCAGGCGGATCAGCTGAGGTTGGGAGTTCGAGACCAGCCTGACCAATGTGGAGAAACCCCGTCTCTACTAAAAATACAAAATTAGCCTGGCGTGGTGGCACATGTCTATAATCCCAGCTACTCGGGAGGCTGAGGCAGGAGAATAGCTTGAACCCGGGAGGTGGAGGTTGCAGTGAGCTGAGATCACGCCATTACACTCCAGCCTGGGCAACAAGAGCTAAACTCCGTCTCAAAAATAAATAAATAAATAAGTAATATATAGTTAGAAATTGAAATAGCTATTCCATGACCATCTACTTGAGCTTTCGTAGATTTTAAACTTTCCTTCCATAGCTTTTTTTTTTCCAAAAGTATTCATAATTACCAAAAATGCTTCCCAGTTACAGGTTTAATACGTGTATTCAATCACTGACAATTCTGTAATTTGCAACTTGCTTATCACTAGCAAGGAGCAGTTAGAGTTCATTCGACCCTGAGAACTTAGTAAGAGAAGATAAAGAACAGTGGAATTAATAAAAATCTTAATGTATAGGGCCAGCCTCAAAGGTTATAAGCGCTTGTATATTAGTAAGTGAGGCAAAAAAAAAAAAAAAAAAAAAGACAACACACAGCTTGAACTCCCCATCTCACACCTAGCATAATTTGACACAATAGGGCTTAGTTTAAAAACTGAACCAACAAATGAAACCTGCAATGTAAGTACATCCATATAACCTGGAAGGAGGGGAAGTGGCAAAACGGTATGGCCTCATTTGAGTTTATCAACAAGTTTATTACAATTAATACAGAATGATTACAGTTAATTACAATTAACACAGAGGGTCCAGATAAGATGAGAAGAGACAAATAAATTTCCAGTCCTCAACATGTATATAGTAGGCACTTGATCAATGGCTGCTGAGTGAATGAATTTTGATAGGAGTAAAGGATAAAAAGACACTGATGGGCTAGGCACAGTGGCTTATGCCCATAATGCCAGCACTTTGGGAAACTGAGGCAAGAGAATCACTTGAAGCCAGAAGTGCAAGTCCAGCCTGGACAGCATAGCAAGACCCCGTCTGTATAAAAAATGAAAAACTTAACTGGGCATAGTTGTACGCACCTGTGGTCCCAGTTACTTGGGAGGCTGAGGCAAGAGGATCACTTGAGCCCAGGAGTTTGGGCTTCAATGAGCTATGATTGCATCACTGCAATCCAGTGTGGGTGACAGAGCAAGACCTTGTCTCAAAAAAAATAAATAAATAAAAATAAAAATAAAAAAACACTGAGGGGAGGGGGTAGAGAGTTACAAGGAGAGGGAAGTAAGCATCCTTCTCCTCATCTTGCTCATTCTAACACCTGCAAAACCTGCCAGCCCCTGACAATCCCTTCTAACCAGCCATCATCTGGCATTATCTATATCTATATCTATATAGATATAGATATATAGATATATAGATTTTTTTTTTTTGAGACAGAGTCTCGCTCTGTCGCCCAGGCTGGAGGGCAGTGGCACAGTCTCGGCTCACTGCAACCTCCACCTCCCGGGTTCACGCCATTCTCCTGCCTCAGCCTCCCGAGTAGCTGGGACTACAGGCACCCACCACCAGGCCTGGCTAATTGTTTGTATTTTTAGTAGAGACAGGGTTTCACCATGTTAGCTAGGATGGTCTCGATCTCCTGACCTCCTGATCCACCCGCCTCGGCCTCCCAAAGTGCTGGGATTACAGGTGTGAGCCACCACGCCCAGCCTATATCTATATTTTTTTTTGAGACAAGGTCTCACTCTGTCACCCAGGCTGGAGTTCAAAGACACGATCTCGGCTCACTGCAACCTCCACCTTCCAGGTTCAAGCAATTCTCCTGTCTCAACCTCCCAAGTAGCTGTGACTACAGGCATGCACCACCACACCTGGCTAATTTTTCTATTTTCTGTAGAGACAGGGTTTCACCCACGTTACCCAGGCTGGTCTCAAACTCCTCAGCTCAGGTGACCTGCCAGCCTCGGCCCCTCAAAGTACTGGTATTATAGGTGTGAGCCACCACGCCCGGCCATTATCTATATTTATTAAGGATCGCTGGCCAGGTGCAGTGGCTCACACCTGTAATCTCAGCACTCTAGGAGGCCAAGGAGGGAGGATAGGTTGAGCCCCAGAGTTCAAGACCAGCCTGAGCAACATAGTGAGACCTCGTATCTACAAAAATAAAATAAATAAAATAAAAAAGATCACACAGCCCAGGTAGGTACCACTCATCTCATAGAAAGACTTACACACACATACACACACACACAAACCAGCACTTGGGGAAAAGAGCCTCAAATCAATGTCTAAAATAAGCTCCAGGGCCTATTACACATGACCCCTGTGTTGAGTGGGTTTTAAAAAATGGGAGACATAATTTGTGTCTGTAAGAGTTTACATTTCTCAGCAACAAAAAGAGGAAAAAAAACAAAGTTTTGGCCGGCTGCGGTGGCTCACACCTGTAATCCCATCACTTTGGGAGGCTGAGGCAGGTAGATCACCTGAAGTCAGGAGTTCAAAACCAGCCTGGCCAACATGGTGAAACCCCATCTCTACTAAAAATACAAAAATTACCCAGGTGTGGTGGCGCATGCCTGTAATCCCAGCTACTCAGGAGGCTGAGGCAGGAGAATCGCGTGAATCAAGGGGGCAGAAGTTGCAGTGAGGCAAGATGGTGCCACTGCACTCCAGCCTGCGCTACAAGAGTGAAACTCTGTCTCAAAGAAAAAAAAAAGAGTTTACAAACCTGAACTATCTGTCAGGAAATCACACCCGAAATCTGAATGCAGATTCTGCAAAGGCTTTACTCTTTGAGGCTAGGGACTTATGTCAAGTGAGTTTTAAAAAAAGATGCTGATGAAACAAAAAGAAAATACAATGATGCTGAATATTTTGTTTTATCTATGCATCCCCCTCCTCCAGTGATGTGGGGAAACAGTCAAGCTGGCCAGTAATTTCAGGAACTTCATCTCAAGGCTGCTATACTGAGAAAGGAGGTTTAGGCTGGGGGCAGTGGCCCATGTGTGTAACCCCAGCACTTGGGGAGAATCGCTTGAGCCCAGGAGTTCCGACCTCATCTCTATAAAAAAATCAAAAAATTAGCTGAATGTGGTGGTGCACGCCTGCAGTTCCAGCTACTCAGGAGGCTGAGGAGGGTGTATCCCTTGAGCCCAGGAGGTTGAGGCTACAGTAAGCTATCATTGCAACATTGCCCTCCAGCCTGGGTGACAGAGTGAGACCTTGTCTCAAAAAAAGAGAGGGGTGGAATTTAAACTAGGGATCCAAAGTCTAATTTCAGGGTGGGAGGGGTTTGAGGGATGAGAAATTACTTAATGGGTACAATGTATGTTATTCAGGTGCTGGTTACACTAAAAGCCCAGACTTCAATGCTGGATAATACATTCATGTAATAAAACTGCACTTGTAACCTTTAAATGTATAAAGTCTAATTTCAGTTTCTTGTATACATATAAATTTATATCTTTCTTACCTGCTACTCCAGAAAAATTATTATATTTGTTCTTGGGGAATAAGTTTATAGTTTGTTACTTTCTACAGATTACAAGAATATTCCTCATTTCTAATCTAATTAAATTTTAATATCCTATAGTAAAAGAGTAAGTCATGCTGAAAAAAAAGGCATCAATAGGGACAAGCATTATAAGTAAAAGGCTACAAAAAAAGTTAAATTCTTGAAAAGTGTTCTAATGCATGCTACACTGTATTTCATTTAACTAGCCCCCCCCACTGATGAACATTTCAGTTGTCTCCAATATTTTGCCATCTCAACAATAATGCAATAAATATCCTACTAAATGTCAAAATTTTTTTAAAGTTGTTAGGTGGGCACAGTGGCTCACGTCTGTAATCTCCAGCACTTTGGAGGCCGAGGCGGGTGGATCACCTGAGCTCAGGAGTTTGAGACCAGCCTGGGCAACATTTTGAGACCAGCCTGGGCAACATGGCAAAACCCCATCTCTACATACACACACACACACACACACACACACACACACACACACACACACACACACACAATTAGCCTGACATGGTGGTGTGTGCCTGCAGTCCCAGCACACACACACACACACACACACACACATACACACACACACACACACACACAATTAGCCTGACATGGTGGCGTGTGCCTGCAGTCCCAGCCACTCGGGAGGCTGAGGTGGGAGAATGCTTGAGCCTGGGAGGCAGAGGTTGCAGTGAGCTGAGGTCGTGAGCCTGGGTGACAGAGTAAGACCCCATCTCAAAAAAAAAAGTTGTTAAAGCAGCTTTTTATCCTTTTTTTCCAAGCAGCTTTTTAATGGCAGTGCATAGATATGTCTTTATAAATCACTATTTTCTCATGGAGTTTCATTGGTCAGCATCTCTGCTTTGATGACAAGGCAATAAACAAAAACTACCTCCAAAAAAGACTTTCCACAAACTACTTTTACCCAAGTTCAAAGCCTCTCTCATCACTTGTCTCATCTCCCTGAATCTACTCCTGCCTCCTACAATCCTTCCTTCACAGCAGCCAGAGAAATATTTTTAAATAGATCAGCTCATGCCACTCCCCCGATCACATCCTTCTATGATTTTGCATTGCTCTAAAAATACAATCTACACTCCTCTCCATGGTCCACATGACACTAAAGACATTAAGAATCCCTATGTGGTCTGCTCCCACCTACCTCCCACCTTCCCAGCCTCACAGCTCCCACACTTGCTCTCTCCTAGCCTTCAATCACTCCGAGATCTTCTCCCACTTCAGCACTTTTGCATGTGCTGTTTCCTAAAACCTGGAATACTCAATGCCTAGCACGGTACCTGGCACAGAGTTATCCCACCATAAATAATTCTTCAATGAATGGATAGATGTTTCATTAGAGTAGGCCAGTGGGATGATAAAAACTTGAACCATTATCTTTAAAATAGACATTGTAAAGGCCAGGTACAGTGGTTCACATCTGTAATCCTAGTACTTTGGAAGGCCGAGGCAGGCAGACAGCTTGAGCCCAGGAATTTGAGACCAGCCTGGGCAACAGAGCAAGACCCTAACTCTACAAAAAAATAGAAAAATTGGACAAGTTTGATGCCACGTGCCTGTAGTCAGTCCCAGCTACTCAGGAGGCTGAGATGGGAGGATCACTTGAGCCCAGGAGGTCGAGGCTGCAGTGAGCCAAGATTATGCCACTGCAGTCTCCAGCCTGGGCAACAGGGTAAGACCCTGTCTCAAAAAAAAAAAAAAAAAAAAAAGACATTGTATGTGTGTATATACATGTATGTGTAGACAGATATACATATTACAGAAACACATACAATGTGTATTTGTGTTTATATGAGTATACAAATATACATATATACACATACATTCTAAACAGTATATTCTATACCAATACATTTCAAATTTCAGGCTTGTGTGGTAGCTCATGCCTATAATCCCAGCACTTTGGAAGGCCAAGGTGGGCAGATCACTTGAGGCCAGGAGTTCAAGACCGGCCTGGCCAACATGGTGAAACCCCATCCCTACTAAAAATATAAAAATTAGCCAGACATGGTGGCACGCACCTGTAATCCCAGCTACTCAGGAGACTGAGGCACAAGAATTGTTTGAACCCAAGAGGTGGAGGTTGCAGTGAGCCAATATTGTATCACTGCACTCCAGCCTGGGTGACTGAGTAAGACTCTATTTCAAAAAAAAAAAATTTCAAATTTCATTTTGGTACTAGCTTTATCAAATTCATTTGATGCTGGCATAAAAGTCTGTCTCCCTCTCTAAATTCAGTGCTCCTCGCGAACATGGATAGTATTTTTCCTATTTCAGTGTTGTCAAAGAGCGTCACATATACACATTTGCTCAAGGCACAAAGTCCTCCAAAATTCATAGTAATGAACTGGGCTGCATTTTAGGGCATCTGAATCCATTTCAGGGTCTCCAATCCTTGGTTGGGGTCCACAACTCCCAGAGACCTTGCCAACATCACTTTTTGCCTCTTTCTTCCTTAAAAACATTGGCGTTGGATGGCAAGTACTGTCTGTGTTTCCCAGAGGGAAGGGGAATAAGCTGAGTTTCTCTATTGTTCTGTGGCTGCCTAACAAAGTACACCACGGCCTGCTAGGACAATTACAAACATGAGTTGGCTCTGCTTTTCCAGCATCATGTGCCACTCATAACAGTCTCCACATTGACCATGGACACGAGGGGTAAGTCATCTTAGCAGTGGCCTCTGCACTTGAGCAACTCTAACCAAAAACTTGGCCTTACATCAGGACCTAACGTTAATAAAGACATCCCAGTTTCCACTGCAAAGACACAGAACTGTTATTTTTCAGCAAGGCAAGTTTATTTACTCCCGCAGGAGATAAACAAACGTGGCCACCAGGGAGAGCCCAGGACAAAATGTACTTGACCTGCAAGAGATAAACCAAAAGCCTCCAGTCTCAGAACAAGCTCAATTTTCTGCCCCTCTCAGCTCATCGTCGCGTATGGATTTCAGAGCAACAAAAACAGATGTAAAGGAGGTACCACATGCTGAAGGAAGAGTTGGAAAATACAGGCAGCTTTGTTGGTTTCACAAAGGCAGAAAAGGGCAGAGAAGCAACCTCAAAATCTAAATCCAGTACTATCACTGCTACATGATCAAGGGAGGAGTCACTTAATTGCTGAATGCCTTAGTTTTCCTACCTATGATGCTGAGAGATATCAGTACATTGAATATACTTACATTTTAATTACTGGATGCATATAAAAGCCGAACCCAAGAGGAGTTATTTTGATAATTAAGCAAAACAAAATTCAGACTACTAATTGTCATTCAGGTGTCAGCTCACACGATCACCTTCTCTAAACCACCTATCAAAACTAACTGCATTCTCCCATCCTCACATTTCTGTGGGATTTTTTCCCTCCTAGAATTTATTACTACCTGAAATTGCCCTATTTAGTCATGTGTTTGTCTGCTCTCTCTCAGCCATGAAAATAGCAATATTTTCCTATCTTACTGCTTTATCCTGCCTGGCTCATTAACTTCCTGTTGAATGAATTAATACTAGGTTAAAGTAATTTGAAGGCGGGACGCAATAGCTCATGCCTGTAATCCCAGCACTTTGGGAGGCCGAGGCAGGAAGATCGCTTGAGCCCGGGAGTTTGAGACCAGCCTGGCCAACATGGCAAAACCCTGTCTCTATAAAAAAATACAAAAATTAGCCGGGTGTGGTGGTGCACACCTGTAGCCCCAGTAACCGGAAAGCTGAGGAGGGGGGATGGATTGAGCCTAGGAAAACAAGGCTGCAGTGATTGCACCACTGCACTCCAGCCTGGGCAACAAAGTGAGACCCTATCTCAAAAAAACACAATAATAACAATAATAATAAAATTCTAGGGCTGGGCAGGGTGTCTCATGCCTATAATCCCAACACTTCAGGAGGCCAAGGTGAGAGGATCACTTGAACCCAGGAGTTTGAGACTGCCCTGGGCAACACAGTGAGACCCCATCTCTATTCAAACAATTTTAAAATTTTTAAAAATAAAATTCTAGGAAATGCAAACTAATACATAGTGACAGAAAGCAGAATAGTGGCTGCCTAAGAACAAAGGAAGGATTATAAAGAACATAAGGCAAAATTACCAGGGGTGATAGATGTGTTCATTATCTTGACTATGGTGGTGGTTTCCCAAGTGTATATGTATGTCAAAACTGATCAAATTGTACATTTAAATATATGCAATTAATTGCATGTCATTTATACCTCATTAAGGCTGGTTAACAAATAAAACAGGCTTATAATCCAAAAAATAATGAATCATTCAAAATTATGTGTATTATGTTCATAACCCGGCTTTTTGGGTGGTGCATAATACCAGGGCTGGAGGGGAGAAGGAATTACTCCATTTCAAACTGTCATCTTTACCACTTGCTACTTTGACTATGCCCACACTTCTATGCTTCTAAATGAACAAACTGGACAATGTAGGGTCTATTACTACCCAGACCTTTTCCCAACCCCCAGCCCCGTCTGATGTCTCCTAAAGCAGCAGATCCTTACTTGTCTGGAAGAGCAGACACCAGGAACAAAAGGCTCAATGACTATTTGACAGATTAAAGAATAGACAACTGTTTATTTAAAAGCTCCCTAAAGAATTAGAACATTTGAGGCTATACACTGTTCTGTTGAAATGCAGTTATATATTACCCAGATCTGTAAGCACTTGCCAACCGACCTGTCCAAGTCACTCACTTCCTACGAGTTCTCAGTTTTCTTTTTCTCCCCTTTTTAAATTCCAGATCCATGTATGAATAACATGCCAGGTGTGTTTGGAGGAGACATTCCTAATATTTTGAAAAATCTCATTCAGGCTGGGTACGGTGGCTCACGCCTGTAATTCCAGCACTTTGGGAGGCCAAGGCGGGCGGATCACGAGGTCAGGAGTTTGAGACCAGCCTGGCCAACATAGTGAAACCCTGTCTCTACTAAAAATACAAAAATTAGCCGGGCATAGTGGTGCGCCTGTAGTCCTAGTTACTTGGGAGGCTGAGGCAGGAGAATCGCTTGAACCTAGGAGGCGGAGATTGTGGTGAGCCGAGATTGCGCCACTGCACTCCAGCCTGGGCAACAGAGTGAGCCTCCGTCTCCAAAAAAAAAAAGAAAAAAAGAAAAGAAAATCTCATTCAAATAGCCTCAATAGCTTGAATCGTTTTTTAAATGTCTGAGACAGTGACCATAATTGAACAATCATGGAAAAGAATAGACAATGGGTCTTAAGTGTGAGTGGTATATAGAGTGACTATACAAAATAGCAGGATCACTATCTGAAAACAACAGGTCACACTACTGTTTGACAACAAAATTAAGGCTTACAAATGGTTAGCAATAGTTACAAAATAATAGAAGCAACATAGTGATTAAAAGTAGGGATTCTGTCTCCACCACCTACTAGCTGTGAGGTTAGGCAATTTACTTAACCTCTGAAACTCGGTTTACTCATCTTTACAATGGGGATAATAGTAGCCATCTGATAGGGCTGTGGTCAGAACTAAGCAAATGTTAGCTATTAGTAGTAGTATTACCCTGACCTTTCAAAGGATCTCATTAACTCACTAATCCTCCTAAGTTTCAAATCTTGTCATTTACTAGCATGTTGCTTCTGGGCCTCGGTTTCCTCATCCATAAAACGGGTACCAGTAAAGTGACCTGACTGTTAAGGTTGCAGTGAAGGATTAAATAACGAGATGCGGCTCCCTTCCTTTCCATCTCCCAAAGCGAAGATCGCAGAGGAAGGAAATACTTCTAGTGGCTGCAGATACAGTCAGTTTTTCCATTTCTGGCACGTGAGGGGTAGGAGGAAAAGAAGACACAAAGAGGCATATAAAAGGGTCAGGGGTCCTGCGTGAAGTCCCCAAATGCACGAAAGTGGCACAGTGAGCCAGAACGACTAGACCACTGGGGGCCCGGCCCCGCGCAACTCCCCTCTCGTGTCCCAAGGAGCCTCCCCAAGTGAGCAGGGTTATTTCGGAATCACCATGAGGCAATTCTCATGAGGCAATGGGTCAGGAATGCGGCGCTGAGCCTGGCCGCTGGCACCCGTGGTTCCCTCGGCGGCTCTACCTGCCCCGGGCCTGACGGGCATCCCCGGGGCTGCCGCAGCCGGAACTCGGGGAGGCAGGAAATGAATGGGGACCCGAGGGGTGGGGGCGCGGTGGGGCCGGCCCCCGGCCCCTGGAGGGCGAGGGGACGAGGAGGGAACCGGCCCCCAACCCCGACCCGGGGCGGGAGCCCGAAGCCCGGCCGGGGCGCCCCCTTCCGGACGGGGCTAACCGAACGCGGCGGTGGCCGGGCCGAGGCCCGCGCCGGGCCCCTCGGGGCTCCTCACCTCCGCGATGTCATGTTCCTCCCGCCCTCCGGCTCCGCGACGGACCCGCTCCTTGCTCAGGCTCCGCTGGGCTCGGTCACATCGGGCTGGCCCGAGGGAGGCCCGCTCGGGACCGGACGCGGGGCAGAGCCAGCCGGCCGCGCACAGACCCCCCTCCAGGCCTGGGGATCCCGGAGACTGTGCAGCTGCCCCCCGGCCCGGCTCGCTCCTCCTCCGCCCCCGCCCTTCGCCGCCGTCGCCCCCGTGATGTCACCGCTCGCGACGCCCGCCGCCACTTCCTGCTTCCCGTCAGCGGAGGACCGAGCGACGGCCGGGAATGGCAGCGCGGGGGCTCCGCGGAGGCGCCACGCACAGTGTCCAAAGCATCCTTGCTTCCTCCTGGAAACCGCGGCCGCCAGGTGTGAGCTGCGCGCTCCGCGTCTACGCCACCGACCCGTCCGGGCCCGCTGCCACATCGATTTCATTCATTTCGTTCCACAAATCGCCGCTCCACTCATTAGCTGTGGAACCTTGGGGAAATTACCTACTGTCTCCGAGCCTCGGTTTCCTCCATTCTTTTCTTTCTGTAAGATAAAGATAGTAGGCTGGGCGCGGTGGTTCACGCCCGTAATCCCAACACTTTGGGAGGCTGCGGCAAGAGGTTCGCTTAAGCCAAGGAGTTCGAGGCCAGCCTGGGCAAAAAAGCAAGACCTCATCTCTACAAAAAATGCAAAAAACTAACCGGGCGTGGAGGCTGCGGCGGGAAGATAACTTAAGCCCGAGAAGTCGGGGCTGCAGTGAGTCGTGATCACGCCACTGCACTACACCCTGAGCGACAGGGCAAGACACTGCCTAAAAAAATAATAATAGGCTGGGCGCGGTGGCTCACGCCTGTAATCCCAGCACTTTGGGAGGCCGAGGTGGGCGGATCACGAGGTCAAGAGATCGAGACCATCCTGGCCAACATGGTGAAACCCCGTCTCCACTAAAAATTCAAGAATTAGCCTGGCGTGGTGGGGGGCGCCTGTAGTCCCAGCTGCTTGGGAGTCTGAAGCAGGAGAATCGCTTGAACCCGGGAGGCAGAGGTTGCATTGAGCCGAGATCGCGCCACTGCACTCCAGCCTGGCAATAGAGCGAGACTCCGTCTCAAAATAATAATAATAATTACAATAAATACTACTTTGGGGTGGGAGCGGTGGCACACGCCTGAAATCCCAGCACTTCCCTTTGGGAGGCTGAGGCGGGCGAATCGCTTGAGTCCAGGAGTTGGGAACCAGCCCGGGCAAAATAGTGAAATCCCATCTCTACAAAAAATACAAAAATTAGCCGGGCGTGGTGGCGCGCGCCTGTAGTCCCAGCTACTCGGGAGGCTGAGGTGAGAGGATTGCTTGAGCCTGGAAGGTCGAGGCTGCTGAAAGCCGAGATCGCGCCACTGCACTCAGGCCAGGTATGGTGGCTCACGCCTTCATCCCAGAACTTTGGGAGGCTGAGGCAGGAGGATTGCTTGAGCCTAGGAGTTCAAGACCAGCCTGGGCAACATGGTGCGACCATGTCTCTTAAAAAAAAAAAAAAAAAAAAAAAAAAAAGCCGGGCCGGGTGGTACGGAAGTATTACTTTGGACACTCTGTGAAGCTCGAGCAAGAGAGCAAGGCCAGAAACAGAGAAGCCAGTCAAAATACGGAATACTATAGTATTCTGGTCTGGGAATAATGGTAGCTCAGACCAGATTGAGAAGAGTAGAGCTTTTACTTGATTGATGCGCATATGACTCATTGAAGGCTACAGATCTAGCTGAGCGTGGTGGCTCACGCCTGTAATCCCAGCACTTTGGGAGGCCAAGGAGAGCAGATCACTTGAGGTCAGGAGTTCAAGACCAGCCTGGCCAACATGGTGAGACCCCGTCTCAACTAAAAATACAAAGATTAGTCGGGCTTGGTGGCGCACACCTGTAGTCCCAGCTACTCCGGAGGCTGAGGTGGGAGAATTGCTTGAACCGGACAGGCAGAGGTTGCAGTGAGCCCAGACTGCACCACTGCGCTCCAGCCTGGGTGACAGGGTGAGACTCTTTCTCAAAAATAAATAAATAAAGGCTACAGATCTAGTGAATGGCAGAGCCATAAGTTTAACCCATATCTGTATAGCTCCAAAATCCTCATTTTTTTAATGCTTGCCCATTTCATTCATATACAAGTGAGTCTCATACTGTGTGCTAACTGCTTCAGCATCATGTGCTCCTTACAAAGATCACCTTTAATATATGCCAATTTAATTCACATAAGAGCCATTTAACAAGCAGTTGTCCCTCTCCCTAAATCCTGGCCAGCTAGATGACAAGCTACATTTTAACTGATCTCAGGCCTGCAGGCCTAAACTTCCTAATCCAATCTCCACATAGTAGCCAGAGTAATCTAAACTACAAAACTAGGCGGGTCACTCGGGGCGCGGTAGCTCATGCCTGTAATCCCAGCACTTTGGGAGGCCAAGGCAGGTGGATCACCTGAGGTCAGGAGTTTGAGGCCAGTCTGGCCAACATGGTGAACCCTCGTCTCTACTAAAAATACAATTAACTGTGGCCAAGTGCGGTGGCTTACACCTGTAATCCCAGCACTTTGGGAGGCCAAGGTGGGTGGATCACCTGAGGTCAGGAGTTTGAGACCAGCCTGGCCAACATGGTCAAACACAATCTCTACTAAAAATACAAAATTTAGGGCTGGGCGCGGTGGCTCACGCCTGTAATCCCAGCACTTTGGGAGGCTGAGGCGGGCGGATCACGAGGTCAGGAGATCGAGACCATCCTGGCTAACACAGTGAAACCCCATCTCTACTAAAAATACAAAAGATTAGCTGGGCGTGGTGGTGGGCACCTGTAGTCCCAGCTGCTCGGGAGGCTGAGGCAGGAGAATGGCGTGAACCCAGGAGGTGGAGCTTGCAGTGAGCCAAGATCACACCACTGCACTCCAGCCTGGGCAACAGAGCGAGACTCTGTCTCAAAAAAAAAAAAAAAAAAAAAAAATACAAAATTTAGCTGGGTGCAGTGGCAGGCACCTGTAGTCCCAGCTACTCAGGAGGCTGAGGCAAGAGAATTGCTTGAACCCAGGAAGTGGTGCTTGCAGTGAGCCAAGATTGCGCCACTGCACTCCCACCTGGGCGTCGGAGCGAGACTCCATCTCAAAAAAAAAAAAAAAAAAAACTGCAAAACTAGTCACTCCCTACATTGAATTCACCAATGGCTTCTCCTTGATTTTAGAATGAAGTCCAAAAAAAAAAAAAAAAGGTTTATCCCCCTGGATGTGGTGGCTCACCTCTGTAATCCCAGTGTTTTGGGACTCCTAGGTGGGAGGATTTCTTGAGCCCAAAGAGTTCAAGAACAGCCTGGGCAACAGAGTAAGACCCCTGTCCCTACAAAAAAAAAAAAGTTTTTTGTTTTGTTTGAGTTGGAGTCTCATTCTGTTACCCAGGCTGGAGTGCAGTGGCGCAATCCCGGCTCACTGCAAACTCCACCTCCCAGATTCAAGCAATTCTCCTGCCTGAGCCTCCCAAGTAGCTGGGATTACAGGCACGCACAACCATGCCCAGCTAATTTTTTTTGTATCTTTAGTAGAGACAGGGTTTCGCCATGTTGGCCAGGCTGGTCTCCAACTCCTGACCTCAAGTGATCCACCCACCTCAGCCTCCCAAAGTGCTGGGATTACAGGCGTGAGCCACCATGCCCGGCCCAAAAAAAAGTTTAAAAAAATTTTTTTAGACCCAAGGTCTTGCTATGTTGCCCAGGCTGGCCTTGAACTCCTGGCCTCAAGCAGTCCTCCCACTTTGACCTCCCAAGGCCTTGGATTTACAGGCGTGAGCCAATGCACCAGAGTTTTTTTAACTCTGGTCCCCAATCACTTCACCACCCCGTCTCCCCACTACTCGCTTCATTCTCTATGACCCAGCCATGCTGAATGACTTTCAGCTCCCCTCAATATGCCATATTCTTTCCCAGCGTAGAGCCTTTTAACAATCTGCTTTCTTTCCCCAGAGGGTTCTTCCTGACTGTCCTCCACATCAACTCTATGCCTCTGATCTCAGGCTAGGAGCCACTTCCTCTGGAATACAAGCCTCACCCGATTCTCTAGTGCAGGTCAGATGGTCACCAAGACACCTATCCTTAGAACCTAACATGCTACACTATAAATCTAAGAGCCGTATCATATAGGAAGCATCCAATTAAGTTTTGTGGGTTTTTTTTGTTTTGTTTTTTTTTTTAGACAGTCTCACTCTGTCTCCCAGGCTGGAGTGCAGTGGCGTGATCTCGACTCACTGCAAGCACCGCCTCCTGGGTTCACGCCATTCTCTTGCCTCAGCCTCCCAAGTAGCTGGGACTACAGGTACCTGCCACCACGCCCGGCTAATTTTTTGTATTTTTTTAGTAGAGACAGGGTTTCACCGCATTAGCCAGGATGGTCTTGATCTCCTGACCTCGTGATCCACCCGACTCGGCCTCCCAAAGTGCTGGAATTACAGGCGTGAGCCACGGCGCCTGGCTGCCAATTAAGTTCTTGATCTAGCTGCCTGGGTGTCTATAAGCAAGTCATTTGACTCCTCTGTGTCTGTTTCCTTCTCTGCAAAGTAGGAATCAAAATCCTACCATAGGATAGGTTTGTGAAATACTCAGAACAGTGTCTGGCAAAGTCAGCACTTGATAAAAGCTGGCTATCATTTGTCTCTTTTCCAAAGTAAACTATTAGCTCTTTGAGTGCAGGAACTACTACCTTCCTAGTGTTTCCTATATTCTGCACACTCTGCAGCTAGAATGAATAATCTTTTAAAAATACAAATCTAATCACGTCACTCCCCTCCCCTGTTGTATGAAGGAGGTTCAAACCCTCTAGCATTAAGTTGAACTCCTTCCCTTAGCACATCAGTCCGTTCTAGATATGGCCTGTGCCAACACCCTCACATAATCTAGCAGTTTCTAAAGGCTTCTAGCTGTTTCTTGCATCCCTGTCTTCCAAAATTTAGTTCCTACTGCCTGGAATACTCTTCAAACCCTTCTCCACCTGGAAAACAGTCATGCAAGGTTAAACTCCAACTTAAGCAGCTCCTCCAGAAAACATTCTTTCACTTTTTGAGAATAAAAGAGAGACTCCTTTCCTATGCTCCTGGGGCTGCCTCTTCATGCTTCTATCAGCACCTAACACATTTCAACATCATTGTGGGTTCTGTCATTGTTGTTCTGTGTCTTTCTTTAGATTATGATCTCCTTTTAAGACAAAGTCATTGTCTTCCTTTTTTTTTTTTTTTAATACAGACAGGGTTTTGCCATGTTACCCAGATTGGTCTAAAACCCCTGGGCTCAAACAATCATCCTGCCTCCGCCTCCCAAAGTGCTAGGATTACAGGCATGAGCTACCATGTCCGGCCGGTCTTCCCATCTTTATATGCCTGGAGTAGTGCCTGGCATATTCATTTATATGGCCGGGCATGGTAGCTAACAGGAGGATCTCTTGAGACAGGAGTTTGAGACCAGACTGGCAGCCTGGGCAACATAGCAAAAACAAAACAAAACAAAACAAAACAAAAAAACCTCAATCTGAATTATTTTATTATTATTATTTATTTACTTTTTAAGATGGAGTCTTCACTCTGTCGCCCAGGCTGGAGTGCAGTGGCACAATCTCGGCTCACTGCAAACTCTGCCTTCCGGGTTCACACCATTCTCCTGCCTCAGCCTCCCGAGTAGCTGGGACTACAGGCACCCGCCACCATGCCCGGCTAATTTTTTTGTATTTTTTAGTAGAGACGGGGTTTCGCCGTGTTAGCCAGGATGGTCTCGATCTCCTGACTTCGTGATCCACCTGCCTTGGCTTCCCAAAGTGCTGGGATTACAGGCGTGAGCCACCGCACCCGGCCAACTCCATCTTAATTTTAAAAAGATATATTCATTTAGAGATTAATTCAGATAATAGCCATTACTTTATTTGAATTTCTTTCTCAATTACAAAAGCAATACAAGTTCCTTGCAACAAACTAAATAACAAACAGTAATTTTCTCTGTTCCTTGATGCATACGTACTCCATATCCCAATCCCCAGCAGTGTTAATGGTTTGGTGTATGTCTTTCCACACTTTATACATATACAAACACACAAACTCATCCCATACACAGGCTCACACACATACATAACACATATAAAGATATTTTTCTATTTATTTATTTATTTATTTATTTATTTATTTATTTGAGACAGAGTCTCACTGTGTGGCCCAGGCTGGAGTGCAGTGGCACAATCTCGGCTCACTGCAACCTCTGCCTCCCGGGTTCAAGTGATTCTCGTGCCTCAGCCTCCCAAGTAGCTGGAATTACAGGCATGCACCACCATGCCTGGCTAATTTTTGTATTTTTAGCAGAGATGGGGTTTCACCATGTTGGCCAGGCTTTAAAAGATTTACTGCCTAACAAACAAACAAAAAATACAGCTGAGGCAACATTGTGAGACCCTGTCTCTACAAAAAATGTAAAAAAATTAGCCAGGTATGGTGGTGTGCACTGTACTCCCAGCTACTCAGGGGGCTGAGGTGGGAGGATTGCTTGAACCCAGGAGGTCAAGGCTGCAGTGAGCCATGATCTCACCTTGCATTCCAGCCTGGGCGACAGAGCGAGACTCTGTCTCCAAAAAAAAAAAAAAATTAGGCTGGGCGAGGTGGCTCACGCCTGTAATCCCAGCACTTTGGGAGGCCGAGGTGAGCAGATCACCTGAGGTCAGGAGTTCAAAACCAGCCTGGCCAACATGGTGAAATCCTGTCTCCAATAAAAACACAAAAAATTGGCCGGGCAAGGTGGCTCAGGCCTGTAATCCCAGCACTTTGGGAGGTCGAGGCGGGCAGATCACGAGGTCAGGAGATCGAGACCATCCTGGCTAACACAGTGAAACCCCACCTCTACTAAAAATACAAAAAATTAGTCAGGCATGGTGGCGGGCGCCTGTAGTCCCAGCTACTCGGGAGGCTGAGGCAGGAGAATGGCGTGAACCCGGGAGGCGAAGGTTGCAGTGAGCCGAGATCATGCCACCGCGCTCCAGCCTGGGCAAAAGAGCAAGACTCTGTTTCAAAAAAAAAAATTAGCCAGGTGTGGTAGCGGGCACCTGTAATCCCAGCTACTCAAGAGGCTGAGGCAGGAGAATGGCTTGAACCCAGGAGGCAGAGGTTGCAGTGAGCCAAGATCACGGCACTGCACTCCAGCCTGGGCGACAGAGCAAGACTCCATCTCAGAAAAAAAAAAAAAAGATTAAGTGTCTGCAAAAATGTCTGCTTTGTGATTAAAGTGCTGCACAAATTTCAGAGAATTTTATATATGGCAAAACTAAACTTAATAAAAACATTTACTTTATAACTAACATGGTATTTTGCCCAACTAATGAATTGTAAATTTTGCAATACCGCAACAAAACACAAGAGGGGGTTCATCTACGTTTTTATTTTAATGACAGGTCATTCAACACATATTTTGGGGCGTTCACTAGGTGAAATTATCTGAGATTGCCAGCAATTTTGAGGGGCCCACGTAAGCAACTGTGCATCTCATTCATTCATTGTGGTACATTTTCTGCAGTTGAAGTTTCTAAGAGGTGCTTTGCTGAGGAAGCTAAACAAATAAAGCTGCTGACATTCCCATTCTCAAAAAAAAGGGCAGTGTTCATCTGATCATTGTATTTGTATCCTCAGTGAATCAGAACCAGAAAAAGGCTAAATGATTCCCAGAGACACAGCCATGAAGCAGGTGGTTTCGATCTGAAAAAATCAAGGTGAAAAGCTCTAGCAACCAGAAAGAAACGAATGGAGGAAAATGGAAAACGCAAGCTAGAAGGTATTACAAATGTGTACATGTTGGCTTAAGGGCTTTGAAGCAGTAAAGAACTATCACATATACTGTGTTGTGTATTTTGTAAAAGATAATAAATATTCTTATTTTTAATTCTAACATGAGCAAAACTCTCATGCATCTTCATTAATCATCTCTTTAATCTTGCAGCCTAATGGTTAAGAGTGCAATCTTTGGAATCAGATCTATGCTGTGAGCAAGTTACTTAATGTCCTTGAGACTCAGTTTCCTCATAATAGTATCATTCACAGGTTGTTGGGAGAATTAAATGAAATAAAGCAAGGCACATTGTATGCAATATTGCCTATTATCTCCCATGCATAAACTTTAGCAGAATACTTGACAACAACTAGGATGTTGATGATCAGATGATTGTAGTGGTGATGGTGACAATAACAAGAGCTAACAGTTCGCCAGGTGCGGTGGCTCACGCCTGTAATCCTAGCACTTTGGGAGGCTGAGGCGGGTGGATTACTTGAGGTCAGGAGTTCAAAACCAGCTTGGCCATCATGGTGAAACTCTGTCTCTACTAAAAATACAAAAAATTAGCTGGGCATGGTGGTGTGCGCCTGTAATCCCTGCTACTTGGGAGGCTGAGGCAGGAGAATCACTTGAACCCAGGAGGCAGAGGTTGCCGTGAGCCAAGATCGTGCCACCACACTCCAGCCTGGGTGACAGAGCGAGACTCCATCTCAAAAAAAAAAAAAAAAAAAAAAAAAAAAAAAAAAAAAGAGCTAACACTTATGTAGCATTTACCATCCATCAAATAATCAAATATGCTTCTCAGTACTGTTGTATATATTATTTAATGTTCCCAACATCCTTATGAAGTAAGTTACTATTGTTATCCTCACTTTAATTTTTTTTTACTTTTTTTAAGACAGAGTCTCATTCTGTAGGCCAGGCCGGAGGACGGGAATGAGAAAGGCCATGTACAAGAGGAAGTAGTCAGCCGCTAAATCCAAGGTAAGGGAAGAGGGGACCACTGACCTAATCTCAAGTGACAAGATTAGAGTTCACTGCACTGCAGCCCAGACCTCCAAGACTCAAGTGATCCTCCCGCCTTAGCCTCCCGAATAGCTGGGACTACAGGCACTAACAACCACACTCGGCTAATTTTTTTTCTTTTTTTCTTTTTTTTGTTGTTGTTATTGTTTTGAGACTGAGTCTGGCTCTATTTCCCAGGCTGGAGTGCGGTGGCACGCAGTGGCACGATCTTTGGAGTGCTGGGATTACAGGCGTGAGCCACCGTGTCCGGCCCTTTTTTTTTTTTTTTTCTTTTTTGAGAATCTTGCTCTGTTGCCTAGAGCGCAGTGTCGCGATCTTGGCTCACTGCAATCTCCACCTCCAGATTCAAGTGATTCTCCTGCCTCCGCGCCTCGACTGGCTGTCATTACAGACACGCACCACCCACGCCCGGCTACCTTTTGTATTTTTAGTAGAGACGGGATTTCACCATGTTGGCCAGGCTGGTCTCGAACTGCCAACCTCAGAGGATCCTCCTGCCTCGGCCTCCCAAAGGGCTGGGATTACAGGCGTGAGCCACCGCACCCGGCCTAGGATTTACTACTTTTTTCTTAACGGGGAAATACTACATTCCCCATGATGCCCCAGATCCGGAAGGAAGTGAGACTCGCACTTCCCATGATTGCTTATAGACCGGAAGCCGGGACCTTAATTCTCTTTCCCATCTTGCAAGGTAAGAATCGCGGGCCTGTCTGCAAGACTTGAGTTCAGGACTCCCAATCCTTCGCCATCCGAACCTGGAGGGCATCCAGTCGACACCTACAGGGGTCGGACATGTCCAAGGCTAACTGAGAGGCCTTCCAGACGCTTCATTTTTGTTGTTTGGGTTTGCGGCAGGGCACAAAGAGGGTGAGGTAGAATGCCGTAGTGGCTCCCTCCGGTTCTTCGCCACTCTCTTGGGCTGGGGGAACGAGGCCCTTTCGGGGACCCGTAGCAGACTGGTGGGTGTTAGAGGAAGCGGGGAGACGGCGCGTGCACTGTGTTCCTGGTCCTGGGTTCCAGAGGATGACACTGAGCCTGTCGCAGCCACGTTGGGGTTCCGCACTGAAGCCAAAAGGTTTCGCGTCTCCCAGCGTCCCCGACCGGAAGTCGCCTCTTGGTCTTTGCGATCTTTTTCTCTGGCTCAATTTGGGCTGATTCCGTTTGTGTCCGCAATTCCTAAATCGAGTTTCTTGAAAAGAGACACTGGTCTTAAGGGTTAAGACGAAAGGTACTGAAAGTAAGGGATTTCAAGTTCTGGTCTTGGTGCTTCTAACCTGTGGACACATTCTGCATCTAAGTTTTCTAATTCGCAAAACAGTAATAAAAAATAATGGTTGTACGGACTTCTGACCGCTCAGTATTTGGCAAAAAACCTAATAGGTGTGAGGTAGTTTCAAATTCTCAAAAAAAAAGTTTATAGTGTATTGGGGAGACAAACCCCAAATGAGTCATAGTGAAGGTTGGAGTAGAATGGGTAGAGTTTGAGAGGAAGGCCTGTATCTTACCGGGGGAGGGATTGTAGTCTGGGGAGCCCAGCCCATTCATGTACAGGTTCATTATTGTCTTGTTAGAGAGATGACTGGTGAAATGCCTTTTTTTATCTACAAAAAAATATTTTTAGATGGCGGGTGAAAAAGTTGAGAAGCCAGATACTAAAGAGAAGAAACCCGAAGCCAAGAAGGTTGATGCTGGTGGCAAGGTGAAAAAGGGTAACCTCAAAGCTAAAAAGCCCAAGAAGGGGAAGCCCCATTGCAGCCGCAACCCTGTCCTTGTCAGAGGAATTGGCAGGTATTCCCGATCTGCCATGTATTCCAGAAAGGCCATGTACAAGAGGAAGTACTCAGCCGCTAAATCCAAGGTAAGGGAAGAGGACCACGGACCATTATGTCTTAACCTTAATTGGCATTCTCTTACTGTTGATGCATTTGTGTCCTTGTAGGTTGAAAAGAAAAAGAAGGAGAAGGTTCTCGCAACTGTTACAAAACCAGTTGGTGGTGACAAGAACGGCGGTACCCGGGTGGTTAAACTTCGCAAAATGGTAAGATGTGGGGACTGTAAATTGGATTTTCTGTTTATGCTTGAATACTGTGAAGATGTTTTTGAATACTTAGATACTGTAAGTTTCTGCATACCGGAGAATTTCTGATAGAAAATAAAGGGCTCTGGGTTTGTAACTTGGCTTCAACATTTACTGTTAATCTTAAGTAATTTAAATTACTCGTCTGTGCTTTGTTCCTTTGCATATAATATGGGAATGAGGCTGAGTGTGGTGGCTAATGCCTGTAATCCCAGCACTTTGGGAGGCTGAGGCGAGCAGATCACCTGAGGTCAGGAGTTCAAGACCAGCCTGGCCAACATGGTGAAACCACATCTCTAGTAAAAATATACAAATTAGCTGGTTGCGTGCCTGTAGTCCCAGCTGCTCTGGAGGCTGAGGCAGAAGAATCGCTTGAACCCGGGAGGCAGAGATTGCACTACTGCACTCCAGCCTGGGCGACAGAGGGAGGCTTCATCTCAAAAAAAGATAAGATGGGAATGAGGGTTTACCTCAAAGAGTTTTTATGGAGATTAAATGAAATAATACATAGCCTGTTCTATAGAACATTTCCCACTAGAGCAGTGTTTCTTGGCCCCCTTTACCACACACAAGACCCAATGTAATCTCAGGATTTGCTCTGTAATTTTCATTATGGGAACATTCCCAAATAAGTTAACACCATACAGTTTCACAGTTGAAGATTACTGCATGAGAGGGAAGATGACAGTTGTTTTGTGAACTCGTTTTCCCATTAGGTGATCATGTTTGTGGTGAAAGTGAGACTGCACTAATGATATGGTATAGTTGGAAATAGGTTATTGTGAGTTATTTGTAGTCATGTCTTTAATGGCCCTTGCATGGTGTCTAACTTCTGCAATAAATGATCTGCCAGTCCTAGTGTCTGGCTTTATGCAATTTGTTTTCCTTTGTGGATGAAGTGGGAGTAAGACTTGTTGCTGTGAGGATCAGATGAAGTGGCTAGGATATGGACACACTTTACTTGAATTGGAAAACAAGCCATGTATCCCTAATCTGCAAAATGTGGCATGTCACACGTGTAATCTCTGAGGTTTAGTTTTTGCTCAAGATTGCAAAGGTGACTTGCTTGATGCTTTCTTTGCTTGAGCACACATCTCATTCATTAAATGGTGTCTCCTTTTTTGCACACAGGATGCAGAAGCATAATTGACCTTTTCCAAGTCTACTTAGCAGAAATGAAAATGGAATCATATAAATACAGTATTATACTTTAAAATAAAAAGGCTGTAGCAAAAGTTTGGCTGACATAGCTTGCTTCTAGTAATCTGAATGGCTTATTTAAATAAGTTGGATCTATGGACTCTCCACAGCCTAGATATTATCCTACTGAAGATGTGCCTCGAAAGCTGTTGAGCCACGGCAAAAAACCCTTCAGTCAGCACGTGAGAAAACTGCGAGCCAGCATTACCCCCGGGACCATTCTGATCATCCTCACTGGACGCCACAGGGGCAAGGTGAGAGTACCTGTGCTTGGGGCGCTTCACTGCAGCTGCCTGGGGTGCCTGGTGGCAATGCGTTTGCACGCTAGGTGTACTTTTCCTTTATTTACCTATGTTTGGGGCAAGGGGAAATGATCTGCAAGATACAACTTAGTTGTTGCAAATAAGAAGTGTAATCCATGGTGATTTATTAGCCATTTCCTGCTGTTGATTATGTTACACATGTTCATTTACTCAAAAACGTGTTTATGTCTGGAGTACTACCTTAGTAGCTTGCTGTGGTTGCTTCCAGAACTGCCGAGCTGTATACATATACATGTAGAAATTTCCTTTACCCAAATTTAGATGCCTGTGATTTTATGAATTCAGAAGTCAGTTTTTAATTGCAGAAAACTAATTATTTTCTTTTTAACTTACAGAGGGTGGTTTTCCTGAAGCAGCTGGCTAGTGGCTTATTACTTGTGACTGGTAAGAAAATCCTTGGATTGTGATGTTCTGTGAAACTTCCATTTTTAAATGCTTGCAGTATACACGTTTGTTTGCTACTGCCTACATGGTAGACACTTATTGCCACAAGTGTCTGAGGCCCATTTCATTGCCTTGTGTGCAAGTGGGTTAGACAAGTGGTCTTCTTTGTGTAGCAACATAACAAGTAATGGTCACCTAAATTGCAGGATGATGATTCTTCCCCCTTTTCCTTGCTAAATTAATTTTTCCCCCTTAGGACCTCTGGTCCTCAATCGAGTTCCTCTACGAAGAACACACCAGAAATTTGTCATTGCCACTTCAACCAAAATCGATATCAGCAATGTAAAAATCCCAAAACATCTTACTGATGCTTACTTCAAGAAGAAGAAGCTGCGGAAGCCCAGACACCAGGAAGGTGAGATCTTCGACACAGAAAAAGAGGTAAGTTTCTACTTGTCATCTCCTGTGTTAGCACTGGCCCTTCTACCTGGGAGTGAAAAGAAACAGGTTGCACAAAAAGAAGAAAAATGAAAGGTTAAATAATGAGGAATGCTGGGAGATACTTAGTATTCCAGATTCTTCTAAATTGAGTAGTTCTTTTGGCAGTCTGGGAGCTCAACTTAGAATCCTAAAGTTTGGTGGAATTGTGTGGGAATTAACTGCTACCATCGTATTGGGAATGTGCCCTTACTTATCCTTGATGTGTCCTAAAGTATACAAAAGCTTAAGAGCTACTTTTATTACATTAAAAAATGGGTTGTGTTTCACAGCATTCCAAGGAAAGGATTGTCAAAATTGTCTTTAATGTTTTCTAAATATTCTTGGGGATTAGTACTTGTGAGACAGGACTCCTTAGTTGACCTACAAGTAATTTGGTATGTGCCTGTTTTAAAATGTTTGATTTTCTCTTTATTTAGAAATATGAGATTACGGAGCAGCGCAAGATTGATCAGAAAGCTGTGGACTCACAAATTTTACCAAAAATCAAAGCTATTCCTCAGCTCCAGGGCTACCTGCGATCTGTGTTTGCTCTGACGAATGGAATTTATCCTCACAAATTGGTGTTCTAAATGTCTTAAGAACCTAATTAAATAGCTGACTACATTTTGTGTCTCTTTTTTTAATTTTTGGTTTTTAAAAAAAATTCTTACCTACCTGAAGGTGTAGTTTGACCATGCCAGCTCACCTGGGGGTTTTCCTTAGTAGAGAATGGGATTGGAAGGGAGTGGTGTCTACAAGAGAGCTAGTTTGTTGGCTTTGCATTGCTGTTCTTGGCTTCAGATTGGTTCTTGGTGCCTGGCTAATAACTTTTTCACCCACCCTCTACCATTGTGAAGTGGTGGCATTTTCTCACTCGTCCCTGAAGAAGTCAGTGCTAAACTGTACATGGATGAGAGAAGAGAATAACTGCTGACTACTCAGACAACAAACTCCCATTTCTCCCCGCTGTGCTCAATTCTCAACTCCTCCCCAATAATTATGAGGCCGTGCTCTTGTTTCCCAGGCCAGTGCAGTGGCTGTTCATGGGCACGTTTATCACATATGGCCCCAGTTCCTATTGCCTGGGCTGGTTCAACTCCTGGGCTCTAGCTATCCTCCTGCCTAGACCTCAAGGTATTGGGATTATAGGCATAAGCCACCACACCCTGCCAGATTTGTGCATTTTAATTTTGGCAGATTCTTCCAAACACTCCCAAGTGTTAGACCACTTTATTTGTTCTGGAAATGTACAGAGTACCCATCTTCTTATAGGTAGGTTATCAAACTTGGATTTTTGCCAATGGAAAATGAAAAATGGGCTGTGTGTGCTGGCTTCCACCTGAAACCCCCACATTTTGGGAGGTGGGGCCAGGAGGCTCACTTGAGCCTAGGAGGTCCAGGCTGTGGTGACCTGTGATTTCACCACTGCACACCATCCTGGATGACAGACCCTGTGTCCAAAAAAGGTGAAAAAAGGCTGGGTGCCATGGCTCAACCTGTAATCCCAGCCCTTTGGGAGGCCGAAGTGGGCTGATCAGCTGAGGTCAGGATTTTGAAACCAGCCTGGCGAACATGGTGAAACCCCATCTCCACTAAAAATACAAAAAAAAATTAGCTGGACATGGTGGCAGGTATCTATAATCCCAGCTACTCGGGAGGCTGAGGCAGGAGAATTTGGACGGGAGGCAGAGGTTGCAGTAAGTGACATCACACCACTGCACTCCAGCCTGGGCGACAGAGCAAGACTGTCTCAAAAAAAAAAAGTTGCTAGAATATTTTAAAATGACATGTCATGTTTATATAAGTAACATTTTTATTAAAAAAAAAAACTTGAGCCAGGCACAGTGGCTCACACCTGTAATGTGTGCACTCCAGCCTGGGCAACAAGAGCAAAACTCTGTCTCAAAAAATAAATAAGCCCAGCCTGCGTGTACCTGTGGTTCCAGCTACTTGAGAGGCTGAGATGGGAGGATGGCTTGAGCCTGGGAGTTCGAGTCTTCAGTGAGCTGTGATTGCACCACTGCACTCCAGCCTGGGCAACAGAGCAAGACCCTGTCTCTAAAAAAATAATTTTTCCAAAACAAAAAATTATGAGGACAATGGTTTTACATTTCTGCAAATGTATTTCATGTCTGGCTTCGTAGGAGACAGATTCTTATATCTGCTTTATTCAATCTATTGCAGTATCACATTATGTATTACACCTCAGGAGAACTCCATTCTACACTCGAGTTAAAAGGACAATGTCTTAACAGTAGTATGACAAATTGTTTTAACTTCACAGGTCCCTTTTTAAGGATCTCAGGAACATCTAAAGATCCCTAGATCCGGCCGGGCGCGGTGGCTCACGCCTGTAATCCCAGCACTTTGGGAGGACGAGGCGGGCGGATCACGAGGTCAGGAGATCGAGACCATCCCGGCTAAAACGGTGAAACCCCGTCTCTACTAAAGATACAAAAAATTAGCCGGGCGTAGTGGCGGGCGCCTGTAGTCCCAGCTACTTGGGAGGCTGAGGCAGGAGAATGGCGTGAACCCGGGAGGCGGAGCTTGCAGTGAGCCGAGATCCCACCACTGCACTCCAGCCTGGGCGACAGAGCGAGACTCCGTCTCAAAAAAAAAAAAAAAAAAAAAAAAAAAGATCCCTAGATCCTACTTTGAGAATCATTGCACTAGCCTCTGCATTGTTTCAAAGATTTGGGATCAAACAGATTCTGCCCCTTTTGACCAATAGAATGTGGCATAAGTGATGTGGAGTCTTGCTCTGTCGCCCAGGCTGGAGTGCAGTGGTGCCATCTCGGCTCACTGCAACCTCTGCCTCCCAAGTTCAAGTGATTCTTCTGCCTCAGCCTCCTGCATAGCTGGGATTACAGGCGCCTGCCACTCTGCCCAACTAATTTTTTTTTTTTTGTATTTTTGTATTTTTAGTAGAGAGAGGGTTTCACCATGTTGGCCAGGCTGGTCTGGAACTCCTGACCTCAAGTGATCCTCCTGCCTCAGCCTCCCAAAGTGCTGGGATTACAGACGTGAGCCACCATGCCTGGCATGTGTCTTTATTTTCTTTTACTTACCCACATGAGCTAACTTTCTAAAAGCACATATACTGCTTTTATAACAAAAGATTATTGTTATCTTAAAAAGCAAATTGCAGAAAATTATGTAAAATATCACTTTTAAAAAAGTATACGTGGGAGTGTATATTCATGGCAACTTGAATCTATGCTCCCAGGGAGAATAAAGAAAAGAAAAAAATATATAAGCTTAGTTTTACAACTATATAAATGTGTGCATAAATACAAAAGTTAAAAAGGAATACGATTTACACATGAACTGAAAACATGTCTACACAAAACCTGTACATAATTGTGTATAGCAGCATTATTCATAATTACCAAAACTTGGGAGCAATAAAGATGTCCTTCAACGAGTGAATGGATAACCTTGTGGTACATCCATACAATGGGACATCATTTAGTGATAAAAAGAAATGAGCTATCAAGCAACAACATACGTGGAGGAACTTTAAATACATATTGCTAAGGGAAAGAAGCCCATGTGGAAAGGGCTTCTTTCATATACTGTATCATATTATATACTCTATGATTCCAGGTATTTGACATTGTGGAAAAGGCAAAACTAAGGAGACAGCAAAGAGATCAAAGGTTGCACGTGGGTGGTGGGTGGAGAGGGAGAGATGGACGGGTGGACCACAGGATTTCTAGGACCAGGAATCTATTCTGTATGGTGCTAGAATGGTGGATATATGTCATTATCCATTTGTCAAAACCCATAGAATGTGCAACACAAAGAGCGAACCCTGGCCAGGTGTGGTGGCTCATGACAAAAACAACAAAAAGTGAACCCAAATGCAAACTATAGACTTTGGTTAATAATATATCAATATTGGTTCATCAGTTATAACAAATATACCACACTCATGCAAGTTTTTTTTTTTTTTTTTTTTTTTTTTTTTTTTAGATGGAGTCTCGCTCTGTCACCCAGGCTGGAGTGCAGTGGTGTGATCTCGGCTCACTGCAAGCTCCGCCTCCCAGGTTCATGCCATTCTCCTGCCTCAGCCTCCCGAGTAGCTGGGAATACAGGCGCCCGCCACCATACCCGGCTAATTTTTTGTATTTTTAGTAGGGACAGAGTTTCACCATGTTAGCCAGGATGGTCTCGATCTCTTGACCTCGTGATCCGCCTGCCTCAGCCTCCCAAAGTGCTGAGATTACAGGAGTGAGCTACTGGGCCTGGATTTTTTTTTGTTTCTTGTTTTTTTGTTTGTTTTTTTTTTTTTTTTTTGAGATGAAGTCTCACTCTGTTGCCCAGGCTGAAGTGCAGTGGCGTGTTCCCAGCTCACTGCAACCTCTGCCTCCCAGGTTCAAGAGATTCTCCTGCCTTACATCCCAAGTAGCTGAGACTACAGGCACACACCACCACCACCACACCCGGCTAATTTTTGTATATTTAGTAGACAGGGGTTTTCAACATGTTGGCCAGGCTGGTCTCAAACTCCTGACCTCAAGTGATCCACCCGCCTTGGCCCCCCAAATTGCTGGGATTACAGGCGTGAGCCACTGTGACCAGCTCTTACAGGTAGTTTCTAAGAGCACCTCCCCAGGTAAATCAGTTGCCCAAGAATCGCCATGTCAGGCTGCAGTTACAGGCAGTCTGGCCTTAGACGCCAACCACTTTACCTATCCTTTAAATGTCAGGTGACATTTTGTGTTATGGTGTCTTTATTCATTTATTTTTTTTGAGACGGAGTCTTGCTCTGTCATCCAGGCTGGAGTGCCATGGCACCATCTCAGCTCACTGCAACTCCATCTCCTGGGTTCAAGCGATTCCCCTGCCGCAGCCTCCCAAGTAGATGGGATTACAGGCATGAGCAACCATGCCCAGCTAATTTTTTGTATTTTTAGTAGAGATGGGGTTTCACCATGTTGGTCAGGCTGGTCTCAAACTCCTGACCTCAAGTGATCCACCCGTCTTGGCCTCCCAAAGTGCTAGGATTACGGGCGTGAGCCACCGTGCCCAGCCTGTTATGATGTCTTAAAGGATCAAATAATATTAGCTAATACTGACTGGGTGCAGTGGCTTACGCCTGTAATCCCAGACCTTTGGGAGGCCAAGATGGGAAGATCACTTGAACCCAGGAGTTCAAGACCAGCCCAGGCAACATGATGAGATCCTGTCTATACAAAAAAAAAAAAAAAAAAAAGAAAGAAATTAGCTGGGCGCCTGTGGTCCCAGCTACTCGGGAGGCTGAGGTTGGAGAATCGCTTGAGCCCAGGAGGCAGAGTTTGCAGTGAGCCATGATCATGCCACTGCACTCCAGCCTGGGCAACAGAGCAAGACCCTGTCTCAAAAAAAAAAAAAAGATGAAGAGTAGTAGCAACTATGAGTTTCAGCCTGTTAAACTCAAGACGTGCCAGAAATAATGAATTTTTCAGTTTTTATTTATTTTTTATTTTGGGACAGGATGTCACTCTGTCACCCAGGCTGGAGTGCAGTGGCATCATCACCACTGCTCACTGCATCCTGGACTGCCCTGGCTCAAGTGATCCTTCAGCTTTAGCCTCCTGAGTAGCTGGGACTACAGGTGCTTGCCACCATGCCCAGCTCGTTTTTGTTGTTGCTGTTTGTTTGTCTTTCTGGGTTTTTATTTGTTTTTGCAGAGACAGGGTCTCACCATGTTACCCAGGCTGGTCTTGAACTCCTGGGCTCAAGCAATCCTCCCATGTCGGCTTCCCAAAGTGCTGGAATTATAGGCATGAACCACTGTGCCTGCCCCAGTTTTTAGAAGTCGACTTGCTTCTGACTTTTAAAACCCTGTAGATTAAACTTTAGGTATTCTTAATTTTTTTTTGTCTTTTGGAGACAGTCTCACTCTGTTACCCAGGCTGGAGTGTAGTGGCACCATCTCAGCTCACAGCAACCTCCCCCTTCCGGGTTCAAATGATTCTTGTGCCTTAGCCTCCCGAGTAGCTGGGATCACAGGCACCAGCCACCAAGCCTGGCTAATTTTTTTTTTTTTTTTTTTGAGACAGAGTCTCGCTCTGTTACCCAGGCTGGAGTGCAGTGGTGCAATCTCAGCTCACCACAACCTCTGCCTCCTGGGTTCAAGCAATTCTCCTGCCTCAGCCTCCCAAGTAGCTGGGACTACAGGCATGCACCACCATGCCTGGCTAATTTTTGTATTTTTAGTAGAGACAGGGTTTTACTATGTTGGCCAGGCTGGTCTTGAACTCCTGACCTCGTGATAAGCCTGGCTAATTTTTGTATTTTTAGTAGAGATGGGGTTTCTCCATGTTGGCCAGGCTGGTCTCGAACTCTTGGCCTCAAGTGACCTGCCTGCCTTGGCCTTCCCAAGTACTGGGATTACAGGCGTGCGCCACCGCACCCGGCCTACATTCGGTATTCTTAGGGCTTGAGGTAGATCATATTATTCAAAAGATGGCAACAATATCTCCCACCCAATTTGGTATTCTTTTTTTATTTTTATTTTTTATATATTTTTATTATTATTATTACTATTATTATTATTATTATTATTATTATTTGAGACGGAGTCTTGCTCTGTTGCCCAGGCTGGAGTGCGGTGATGCGATCTCGGCTCACTGCAAGCTCCGCCTCCTGGGTTCACGCCATTCTCCTGCCTCAGCCTCCCTAGTAGCTGGGACTACAGGCGCCCGCCACCACGCCCGGCTAATTTTTTGTATTTTTAGTAGAGACGGCGTTTCACCATGTTAGCCAGGATGGTCTCGATCTGACCTTTTGATCCGCCCGTCTCGGCCTCCCAAAGTGCTGGGATTACAGGCGTGAGCCACTGAGCCTGGCCTATATTTTTGTTTTTTATTATACTTTAAGTTCTGAGATACATGTGCAGAACTTGCAGGTTTCTTACATAGGTACACATGTGCCATAGTGGTTTGCTGCACACATCAACCCATCTTCTAGGTTTTAAGCCCCACATGCATTAGTTATTTGTCCTAATGCTATCCCTCCCCTTGCCCTCAACTCCCTGACAGGCCCCAGTGTTTGATGTTCCCCTCCCTCCTGTGTCCATGTGTTCTTTTTTTTTTTTTTTTTGTTGAGACCGAGTCTCCCTCTGTCGCCCAGGCTGGAGTGCAGTGGCGCAATCTCGGCTCACTGCAACCTCCGCCTCCTGGGTTCACGACATTCTCCTGCCTCAGCCTCCCGAGTAGCTGGGACTATAGGCGCCCGCTACCACGCCCGGCTAATTTTTTGTATTTGTGGTAGAGATGGGGTTTCACCGTGTTAGCCAGGATGGTCTCAATCTCCTGACCTCGTGATCTGCCCGCCTCAGCCTTCCAAAGTGCTGGGATTACAGGCGTGAGCCACTGCGCCTGGCCCTGTCCATGTGTTCTCATTGTTCAGCTCCCACTTATGAGTGAGAACATGTGGTGTTTGGTTTTCTGTTCCTGTGTTAGTTTGCTGAGAATGATGGTTTCCAGCTTCATCCATGTCCCTACAAAGGACATGAACTCATTCTTTTTTATGGCTGCATAGTATTCCATGGTGTATATGTGCCACATTTTCTTTATCCAGTCTATCATTGAAGGGCATCTGGGTTGGTGCCAAGTCCTTGCTATTGTGAATAGTGCTGCAATAAACATACGTGTGCATGTGTCTTTATAGTAGAATGATATATAATCCTCTGGGTATATACCCAGTAATGGGATTGCTGGGTCAAATGGTATTTCTGGTTCTAGAATCTTGAGGAATCGCCACACTGTCTTCCACAATGGTTCAACTAATTTACACTCCCACCAACAGTGTAAAAGCATTCCTATTTCTCCACATCCTCTTCAGCATCTGTTGTTTCCTGATTTTTTAATGATCATCATTCTAACTGGCATGGGATGATTACCTCATTGTAGTTTTGATTCGCATTTCTCTAATGACCAGTGATGATGAGCTTTTTTTCATAAGTTTGTTGGCTGCATAAATGTCTTCTTTTGAGAACTGTCTGTTCATATCCTTCACTCACTTTTTGATGGGATTGTTTATTTTTTTCTTGTAAATTTGTTTAAGTTCCTTGTAGATTCTGGACATTAAAGCTTTGTCAGCCGGGCACGGTGGCTCACGCCTGTAATCCCAGCAGTTTGGGAGGCTGATGTGGGCGGATCACGAGGTCAGGAGATCGAGACCATCCTGGCTAACACGGTGAAACCCCATCTCTACTAAAAGTACAAAAAATTAGCCGGGCGTGGTGGCGGGGGCCTGTAGTCCCAGCTACTCGGGAGGCTGAGGCAGGAGAATAGCGTGAACCCGGCGGGTGGAGCTTGCAATGAGCAGAGATCGCGCCACTGCACTCTAGCCTGGGTGACAGAGCGAGACTCCGTCTCAAAAAAAAAAAGCTTTGTCAGATGTACAGATTGCAAAAATTTTCTCCCATTCTGTAGGTTGCCTATTCACTCTGATGATAGTTTCTTTTGCTGTGCAGAAGCTCTTTAGTTTAATTAGATCCCATTTGTCAATTTTGGCTTGAGAATGGCGTGAACCCGGGAGGCGGAGGTTGCAGTGAGCTGAGATCGCACCACTGCACTCCAGCCTGGGCAACAGAGCGAGATTCTGTCTCAAAAAAAAAAAAAAAAAAATTTCCCTCCAAACACTTCTTTAGCTGTGTCCCAGAGATTCTGGTACATTGTGTTTTTGTTCTCATTGGTTTCAAAGAACTTATTTATTTCTGCCTTAATTTTGTTATTTACCCAGTAATCATACAGGAGCAGGTTGTTCAGTTTCCATGTAGTTGTGTGGTTTTGAGTGAGTTTCTTAATCCTGAGTTCTAATTTGATTGCACTGTGTTCTGAGAGACTGTTATGATTTCCATTCTTTTTCATTTGCTGAGGAGTGTTTTACTTCTAATTATGTGGTCAATTTTAGAATAAGTGCTATGTGGTGCTGAGAAGAATGTATATTCTGTTGATTTTGGGTGGAAAGTTCTGTAGATGTCTATTAGGTCCACTTGGTTCAGAGCTGAGTTCAAGTCCTGAATATCCTTGTTAATTTTCTTTCTCATTGATCTGTCTAATATTGACAATGGGGTGTTAAAGTCTCCCACTATTATTGTGTGAGAGTCTAAGTATCTTTGTAGATCTCTAAGAATTTGCATTATGAATCTGTGTGCTCCTGTACTGGGTGCATATATATTTAGGAGAGTTAGCTCTTCTTGATGCATTGATCCCTTTACCATTATGTAATGCCCTTCTTTTTCTTTTTTGATCTTGGTTGGTTTAAAGTCATTTCTATTGGAGACTAGGATTGCAGCCTCTGCTTTTTTTTTGCTTTCCATTTGCTTAGTAAATATTCCCCCATCCCTTTATTTTGAGCCTATGTGTGTCTTTGCATGTGAGATGGGTCTCCTGAATACAGCACACTGATGGGTCTTGACTCTTTATCCAATTTGCCAGTCTATGTCTTTTTTTTCTTTTCCCGAGATGGAGTCTTGCTCTGTTCCCCAGACTGGAGTGCAGTGGCACAATCTTGGCTCACTACAACCTCCGCCTCCCAGGTTCAAGCAATTCTCCTGCCTCGGCCTCCTGAGTAGCTGGGATTACAGGTGTGAGCCACCACACCCGGCTATTTTTTTTGTATTTTTAGTAGAGATGGAGTTTCACCATGTCAGCCAGGGTTGTCTCAAACTCCTGACCTTGTGAACCACCCGCTTCGGCCTCCCAAAGTGCTGAGATTACAGGTGTAAGCCACCATGCCCAGCCCAGTCTGTGTCTTTTCTTTTTTTTTTGAGATGGAGTCTCACTCTGTCACTCAGGCTGTAGTGCAGTGGCACAATCTTGGCTCACTGCAAGCTCCGCCTCCCATGTTCACGCCATTCTGCTGCCTTAGCCTCCTGAGTAGCTGGGACTACAGGCGCCTGCCACCATGCCTGGCTAATTTTTTGTGTTTCTAGTAGAGACGGGGTTTCACCGTGTTAGCCAGGATGGTCTCGATCTCCCGACCTCGTGATCTGCCTGCCTCGGCCTCCCAAAGTGCTGAGATTACAGGCATGAGCCATGGCGCCTAGCCCAGTCAGTGTCTTTTAATTGGAGCATTTAGCCCATTTACATTTAAGGTTAATATTGTTATGTGTGAATTTGATCCTATTGTCATGATGCTAGCTGGTTATTTTGCACATTAGTTGATACAGTTTCTTCATAGTGTCATTGTTCTTTATATTTTGGTATGTTTTTGCTGTGGCTGGTACCAGTTGTTCCTTTCCATATTTAGTGCTTCCTTCAGGAGCTCTTTTAAGGCAGGCCTGGTGGGGACAAAATCCTTCAGCATTTGCTTGTCTGTAAAGGATTTTATTTCTCCTCCACGATGAAGCTTAGTTTAGCTGGATATGAAATTCTGGGTTGAAAATTCTTTTCATTAAGAATGTTGAATATTGGCCCCCACTCTCTTCTGGCTCATAGGGTTTCTGCAGAGAGATCCGCTATTAGTCTGATGGGCTTCCCTTTGTAGGGAACCTGACCTTTCTCTCTGGCTGCACTTAACATTTTTTCCTTCAGTTCAACCTTGGTGAATCTGATGATTACGTGTCTTTGGGTTGTTCTTATCAAGGAGTATCTTAGTAGTGTTCTCTGTATTTCCTGAATTTGAATGTTGGCCTGTCTTGTTAGGTTGGGGAAGTTCTCCTGGATAATATCCTGAAGTGTGTTTTCTAACTTGGTTCCATTCTCCCCATCACTTTCAGGTACACCAATCAATTGCAGGTTTGGTCTTTTCACATAGTCGTATATTTCTTGGAGGCTTTGTTCATTCCTTTTTATTATTTTTTCTCTAATCTTGTCTTCCCGCTTTATTTTATTAAGTTGATCTTTTCTTTCTTTCTTTCTTTTTTTGAGACAGAGTTTCATTCTTGTTGCGCAGGCTGGAGTGCAATGGTGCAATCTCGGCTCACCGCAAACACCACCTCCCAGGTTCAAGCGATTCTCCTGCCTCAGCCTCCCGAGTAGCTAGGATTACAGGCATGTGCCACCATGCCCTGCTAATTTTGTATTTTTAGTAGAGATAGTATTTCCCCATGTTGGCCAGGCTGGTCTCGAACTCCTGACCTCAGGTGATCCGCCCGCCTCGGCCTCCCAAAGTGCTGGGATTACAGGCGTGAGCCACTGCACCCAGCCTCTATGTTTAATTTTTAAAGGAACTGCCATACTGCTTTCAACATTAAAGTAAATACTTTTTTTTTTTTTTTTTTTTTTTCCTGAGACAGAGTCTCACTCTGTCACCCAGGCTGGACTGCAGTAGGGTGATCTCAGCTCACTGCAACCTCTGCCTCCCAGGTTCAAGCGATACTTGTGTCTCAGCCTCCTGAGTAGCTAGCTGGGATTACAGGTGCACACCAACCATGCCCAGCTAATTTTTTTTTCTTTCTTTCTTTCTTTTGAGACAGAGTTTGCTCTTTCGCCCAGGCAGGAGTGAAGTGACTCAATCTTGGCTTACTGTAACTTCTGCCTCCCAGGTTCAAGTGATTCTTCTGCCTCAGCCTCCCAAGTAGCTGGGATCATAGGCGCCCTGCCACCATGTCTGGCTAAGTTTTGTATTTTTAGTAGAGATGGGGTTTCACCATGTTGGCCAGGCTGGTCTCAAACTCCTGATGTTCGGTGATCCACCTGCCTCAGCCTTCCAAAGTGCTAGGATTACAGGCGTGAGCCACCGTGCTCATCCGCCCAGCTAATGTTTTTGTATTTTTAGTAGAGATGGGGTTTCACCATGCTGGCCAGGCTGGTCTGTAACTCCTGACCTCAAGTGATCCACCTGTCTTGGCCTCCCAAAGTGCTGGGATTACAGGCATGAGCCACTACACCCAGCCTAAAGTATATACTTTTAACTCACTTTATACTACCACAGTTGGAGGCATTTATGAATGGGAAAGAAGTACCTGAGGCTGGGTAATTTTGTTTATTTGATATTTTTTTTGAGATAACGTCTCACTCTGTCACCCAAGCTGGAGTGCAGTGGGTCCATCACAGCTCCCTGCAGCCTCAGCTTTCTGGGCTCAAGCGATCCTCCTGCTTTTCAGCCTCCTGAGTAGCTGGGACTATAGGCATGCACCACAAAGTCCAGCTAATTTCTATTTTTTTTTTCTTTTTGTAGAGATAGGTTTCACCATGTTGCCTGGGCTGGTCTTGAACTCCTTGGCTCAAGTGATCTGCCCACCTCAGCTTCCCAAAAGTGCTGGGGCTATAGGTGTGAGCCACCACACCTGGCCAAGGCTAAGTAATTTATAAAGAGAGAGTGTTTATTTTGGCTCACAGTTCTGCAGGCTGTACAGGAAGCGTGGAATTAACATCAGCTTCTGGTGAAAGCTTCAGGAAGGTTACAATCATGGTGGAAGGTGAAGGGGAGCAGTGTATCAAATGGCAAGAGAGAGAGTAAGAGGTGGGGAGAGGTCCTAGAATTTTTAACAACCAGATCTAGTATAAACTGAGTGAGAACTTAATTATCATCAAGGGTGCTAAAGCATTCACGAGGCATCTTCCCCATGATCCAATCACCTCCCACCAGGCCCCACCTCCAACACTGGAAATCATATTTTTCATATCTCTTTTTGTTGTTGTTTTTGTTTTGTTTGAGACGGAGTCTTGCTCTGTCACCCAGGCTGAATTGCAGTGGCGCGATCTTGGCTCACTGCAACCTCCACCTTCTGGGTTCAAGCAATTCTCCTGTCTCAGCCTCTCGAGTAGCTGGAACTACAGACACATGCCACCACGTCAGGCTAATTTTTGTATTTTTAGTAGAGACAGGGTTTCACCATATTGCTCAGGCTGTTCTTGAATTCCTGACCTCAGGTGATCCACCCGCCTCAGCCTCCCAAAGTGCTGAGATTACAGGCATGAGCCACCACACCCAGAGGTTTTTTGATCGTTTTTTTGAGATAGAGTGTCTCTCTGTTGCCCAAGCTGGAGTGCAGTGGCGCAATCTCAGCTCACTGCAACCTCTGTCTCCCAGGTTCAAGTGATTCTCGTGCCTCAGCCTCCCAAGTAGCTGGGATTACAGGCGCCTGCCACCAAGACCAGCTAATTTTTGTATTTTTAGTACAGACAGGGTTTCACCATGTTAGCAAGGCTGGTCTTGAATTCTTGACCTTAAGTGATCTGTCCGCCTCAGCCTCCCAAAGTGCTGGGATTACAGGTGTGAGCCACTGTGCCCGACCCCGGGAATCATATTTCAACATGAGACATAAAAGGAATAAACATCCAAACCATATACATTTGATTGCAGTTAAGATAAGTACTACTATGAAAAGAAATAGTGTGCAAAAATGACTGAGAAACAGGAGGACCTATTGTGTTTGGGGGAATCAGATGTCCTCTACGAGGAAGCTGATAACTGGAGAATAGGTAGGAGTTTGCCAAGTGAAGCAGGTGGCGAAGGGCATTCTGGCAGGGGGAACAGCAAGTGCAAAGGCCTAGAGGTAGGAAAATGGTACAATTGTTAAAGAAACTGCAAGCAGTCAGGGTGGCTTGCTGAGATGAAGATGGGCATTGTATGCCTAAGATCTCAGAAGCACAGACAACAAAAACAGACAAACAGGACTTAAACCAAAAAGCTTCTGTACAGCAAAAGAAATAATCAAGATAATGAACCAACAACACACACAATGAAAGAAAATATCTGTGGGCCAGGCACAGTAGCTCACACTTGTAATCCCAGCATTTTGGGAGGCCAAGGTGGGCAGATCACCTGAGGTCAGGAGCTTGAGACCAGCCTGGCCAACATGGTAAAACCCCATCTCTACTAAAAATGTAAAAATTAGCTGGGTGTGGTGGCATGTACCTGTAATCCCAGCTACTTGGGAGGCTGAGGCAGGAGAGTTGCTTGAACCCCGGAGATGGATGTTTCAGTGAGCCAAGATTGCACCACTGCACTCCAGCCTGGTCGACAGAGCGAAACTCTGTCTCAAAAAAAAAGTTCGAGACTAGCCTGGCCAACATGGTGAAACCCTGTCTCTACTAAAAATTCAAAATATTTAGCCAGGCGTGGTGGCATGTCCCTGTGGTTCCAGCTACTTGGGAGGCTAAGGCACAAGAATGGCTTGAACTGAGATTGCGGTGAGCCGAGATCGCGCCACTGCTCTCCGGTCTGGGTCACAGAGTGAGACTTTGTCTCAAAAAAAAAAAAAAAGAAAAATAGACATTGCATGTTCTCATTCCTAAGTCAGTGCTAAAAAAGGTGTACACATGGACATAGAGAGTAGAATGATAGATACTGGAGATCAGAAGGATGAGGGGGTGTTAGGGGGTAGATGATGAGAAATTACATAATGGGTACAATGTATACTATTTGGATGACAGATACCCTAAAAGCCCTGACTTGACCACTTCTCATGTAATGTAATTGCATTTCTACCCCATATATATATATATAAATGTCCAACAAGTATACGAAAAAAGACATATATATATGTCTTTATATATATATATGTCTTTATATATATATGTCTTTATATATATATGTCTTTATATATATATATATATATATATATATGTCTTTATATATCTATGTTTTTATATGCATATAAAGATGGGCACTGGCCTGAGATGACCTGAAGCAGGTGACAAGTGAGAGTATACAATGCAAATTATTTTTTGTTTTGTTTTTGTTTGATTTATTTATTTTTCTGAGACCGAGCCTCATTCTGTCGACCAGGCTGGAGTGCAGTGGCACGATCTCCGCTCACTGCAACCTCCACCTCCTGGGTTGGAGTGATTCTAGTGCCTCAGCCTCCTAAGCAGCTGGGATTACAGGGGTCCGCCACCATGCCCGGCTAATTTTTGTATTTTTTTTTAGTATAGGCGGGGTTTCATCATGTTGGCCAGGCTGGTCTCAAACTCCTGGCCTAAGTGATCCGCCCACCTCAGCCTCCCAAAGTGCTGGGATTACAGGCTTGAGCCACCACAGCCAGCCTATTTTATTTTAAAATGTAAATCTTTATATATATATATATTTTTTTTTTTTTTTTAATTATACTTTAAGTTCTAGGGTACATGTGCACAACGTGCAGGTTTGTTACATATGTATACATTTGCCATGTTGGTGTGCTGCACCCATTAACTCACCATTTACATTGGGTATGTCTCCTAATGCTATCCCTCCCCCCTCCCCCCTCCCCCCACCCCACAACAGGCCCCGGTGTGTGATGTTCCCCTTCCTGTGTCCAAGTGTTCTCATTGTTCAATTCCCACCTATGAGTGAGAACATGTGGTGTTTGGTTTTTTGTCCTTGTGATAGTTTGCTGAGAATGATGGTTTCCAGCTTCATCCATATCCCTACAAAGGACATGAACTCATCATTTTTTATGGCTGCATAGTATTCCATGGTGTATATGTGCCACATTTTCTTAATCCAGTCTATCATTGATGGGCATTTGGGTTGGTTCCAAGTCTTTGCTATTGTGAATAGTGCCACAACAAACATACGTGTGCATGTGTCTTTATAGCAGCATGACTTATAATCCTTTGGGTATATACCCAGTAATGGGATGGCTGGGTCAAATGGTATTTCTAGTTCTAGATCCCTGAGGAATCACTACACTGTCTTCCACAATGGTCAAACTAGTTTACAGTCCCACCAACAGTGTAAAAGTGTTCCTATTTCTCCACATCCTCTCCAGCACCTGTTGTTTCCTGACTTTTTAATGATCGCCATTCTAACTGGTGTGAGATGGTATCTCATTGTGGTTTTAATTTGCGTTTCTCTGATGGCCAGTGATGATGAGCCTTTTTTCATGTGTCTGTTGGCTGCATAAATGTCTTCTTTTGAGAACTGTCTGTTCATATCCTTCGCCCACTTGTTGATGGGGTTGTTTTTTTCTTGTAAATTTGTTTGAGTTCTTTGTAGACTCTGGATATTAGCCCTTTGTCAGATGAGTAGATTGCAAAAATTTTCTCCCATTCTGTAGGTTGCCTGTTCACTCTGATGGTAGTTTCTTTTGCTGTGCAGAAGCTCTTTAGTGTAATTAGATCCCATAAAATGTAAATCATTATAAATGAATAGTCTCATGACTTTAACTGTTTTTCTTTCCAATTCTTGGTTCTCTGCCCTCCTTCCCCACATGTTTCTTCCCTAATACTTCCTATCTCAGGGAATCATAGCTCCATTTCTGTTATGGGCTGAACTGTGTCCCTTTGAAAATTTACATGATGAAGTCCTAACCCTCAGTACCTCAGGATGTAATGTTATTTGGAGACAGGGTCTTCAGAGAGAGAGAGAATCAAGTTAAAATGAAGTCCTTAAGATGGGGGCCCAATCCAATATGACTAATGTTCTTGTAAAAAGAGAAAATTTGGGCCAGGTGTGGTGACTCATGCTTGTAATCCCAGCACTTTGGGAGGTCAAGGCGGGAGGACTTCTTGAGTCCAGCAGTTGTAGGCAAGCCTGGGCAACACAGCAAGACCCCATCTTTAAAAAAAAAAAATTAGCCAGGTGTGGTGGCACATGCCTGTAGTCCCGGCTACTAGGGAGGCTGAAGAGGGAGGTTCACTTGAGCCTAGCAGGCTGAGACTGCAGTGAGCCGTGATCGTGCCACTGCACTCCAGCAACAAAGTGAGACCTTGTCTCAAAAAAAAAAAAAAAAAAAGAGAGAGACGAACAAATTTGGACACAGACACACACCAAGGGAAGACAATATACAGAGACATAGGAAGACTATGGTCATCTACAAGCCATGGAGAGAGGTCTGGAATAGATTCTTCTTTCAAAACTCTCAGAAGGGCCAGGTGTGGTGGCTCACACCTCTAATCCTATCACTTTGGGAGGCAGAGGTGGGCAGTTGCTTGAGCTCAGGAGTTCGAGACTAGCCTGAGCAACATGGCGAAACCCTGTCTCTACAAAAAAATACAAAAATTAGCCAGGCATGGTGGTGCATGCCCATGGTCCCAGCTACTCAGAAGGCTGAGGCGGGAGGATCACTTGAGCCTGGGAGGCAGAAGTTGCAGTGAGTTGAGATCGCACCACTGCACTCCAGCCTGGGAAACAGACTGAGACCCTGTCTCAAACAAACAAACAAAGAAACAAACAAAAAATCCTCAGAAGGAACCAACCTTGCTTACTTATGAAGGTAGATACCACCACCATCATCCCAGAAAACTGGGAAACAGGTAGGTGGAATTACTTCTTCATGGTAACATGCAAAAGATCTGGGACCAAATCCAAGCAGTCCATGATTCAAACACCACACTGCATTGCATGTGCTTTTTTTGGTGAATAATAGTATTGAAGTTTCCCCCACCATCCTCACATTCATTAACTCATACGTAGCAGTTACCAGCTTTAAACTCAACATCTTCCGGGAACCTCACCCCCAGACTAGGTGCCCGGACTTCTCATCCCCGTTGGAATGATTCCTTCAAGCAGCCTCCCTGTCTTTCATGAGAAAGGGAAGCTGCCAGTCTCCTTGGGAACTCGATCCTCAAACCTAACTCTGCCTGGCACAGAGTAGGCATTTAATGAATACTGAAGGAACAAAAACGTACAGTGTTTGCTTTTCCTTGAGTGAAAACTCTTCAATAATATCTTTTGTCCACTTTTCCTTTGTGCTAACAACTTTTTTATTTTTATTTTTATTTTTATTTTTTGAGATGGACTCGTTAGGTTGCCCAGGCTGGAGTGCAGTGGCGTAATCTCGGCTCGCTGCAACATTCATCTCCCGGGTTCAAGTGATTCTCATGCCTCAGCCTCCTGGTAACTGGGTAACTGGGATTACAGGCGCGCACCACCACACCTGGCTAATTTTGTAATTTTAGTAGAGATGGGGTTTTGCCCTGTTGGCCAGGCTGGTCTCGAACTCCTGACTTCAGGTGATCCGCCCACCTCGGCTTCCCAAAGTGCTGGGATTACAGGCATGAGCCATAACTTTTTGTTTTTGTTTTTTTGTGTTTTTGTGAGACGGAGTCTCGCTCTGTTGCCCAGACTGGAGTGCAGTGGCGCGATCTCGGCTCACCGCAAGCTCCGCCTCCTGGGTTCACGCCATTCTCCCGCCTCAGCCTCCCGAGTAGCTGGGACTACAGGCGCCTGCCACCGCGCACGGCTAGTATTTTTAGTAGAGACGGGGTTTCACCGTGTTAGCCAGGATGGTCTCTATCTCCTGACCTCGTGATCCACCCGCCTCGGCCTTCCAAAGTGCTGGGATTACAGGCGTGAGCCACCGCGCCCGGCCACAACTTTTTCTTAATCTAATTTTTTTGCAGGAGACGAATGTTAGCAAATTTCCAAGTCTGAACTACAAATCCCAGTGCAGCAAGGCCTGTGATGCACACAAGGTGGCGATGGAGGACATAGCATCTTTCAGAGCTCCCTGCTGCTGATGATCTTTTCAAATGAGAAAGGCATTTAATGCTGCTTCATCTTCTGGCTTTTCATCAATGTGGAGACCCGTCCTTTAGTTTTAGCAATTCAGTGGTGCTCCAAGGAGAATTTCCCCCTCCTCGTTTTCAAATATCTCTTTCATCTGATTTCTTTTCCCTGTTACCACATAGATCCACCCATGAGCCAAAATAATCTTCTTTGAAATAAAAATATGAACAGGGCCTACCAGAACACTTGGAAAAAAGATTTTGAGTAGGTGTGTGTGTTTCCTCTTTGAGACTGTAATTAGTAAGACGGAAATAATCAATCTCCCCCATAGGTTCTGTGTGTGTGTGTGTGTGTGTGTGTGTGTATTTTTTCCTTGGTGTTTTGAAAGGCCTTAAAAATTAACATGGCTGCCTCATCTAAAACCACCTTTAAGCTCTAATAAAGTTTATCAAGGACCACTTATCTTCACACCACACTCACATATTTTTGGACCCAGGAAGGATTACGAAGTCATTTTAGACAGTCAGCTGGTATAGAAAACCAGCAGAAGGGAGAGATATTGCAAAATCCCAGAGGGGCCCCAGCTTGAGCCAGGGCTAGCGAGTATCACGTCAGCAGCTGGGGCAGGAGGGAGATGATCTCCATCAACAAGCCTGCTGCTCCCTCTTGGGGAGATGCCTCCCAGGAGTAACTGAGGTCCAACCTAGTCATAGCTATTCTTCCTATTTTCCTCATATTTCTTCTCTGCTTCTAACTTAGGGTTGCCCAGCCAACACTTTCTCTTGCTCCTTTTCCCATCCTGATCCCCCATTCTTGAATAGAAGAGTAGAAATGACGATTCCAAAGAAAAGAAGTCATAAGCCATAAATCTTTCCTTCCTATAAATGAATGTCTTGTGTGTGTATGTGTGTGTTGTCTAGACTAGATACAGATTCTCTTCCTCGTAGCTTCCAACCTAAAGTTCTTTTGACCAGGCATTTTCTTTGTCTTGCTGATCTGTTCTAGAAATCCCTACTAAATGGTCTCCTTTCCGGAGGGGGTTCTATAAATATTAATTCATCAGCTGCCTCATCATGGTGCAGTGGCAGCCATGCAGTCCTATGACTAATTAATTACTGTTGCTAAAATATTAAATAACTATTCATTATGCAGTCTAAAGACTTTAAGCCCTAGATCTGTGCTGTTTTCATCACTTAGGCTGAAGGACAAGAGTTCCTGGGCACCTTGACTCCTGATCTTAAAACATCATTAAGAGTAGAAGAAATAAGACTAAGTATAGAAGAAATTTTATCTGAACTATTTAAGATGGTTAGAGTCCTGAATCTAAGCATTTAAAAATTGTGATGGGCCGGTCATAGTGGCTCATGCCTGTAATCCCAGTGCTTTGGGGAGGCCAAGGTGTGAATATCACGTGAGGCTAGGAGTTGGAGATCAGCCTAGGCAACACAGGCAGAGCCCATCTCTAAAAAAATTTTTTTAAAAATGAAAAAATACCAGCCTGGCCAACATGGTGAAACCCCATCTCTACTAAACGTACAAAAGTTAGCCGGGTGTGGTGGTGGGTGCCTGTAATCCCAACTACTCGGGAGGCTGAACCAGGAGAATCACTTGAACCCGGGAGGCGGAGGTTGCAGTGAGCCAAGATCTAGCCATTGCACTCCAGCCTGGGTGACAGAGTGAAACTCCATCTCGAAATAAATAAATAAAATAAAATGGGCCAGGCGCAGTGGCTCATGCCTGTAATCCCAGCACTTTGGGAGGCCGAGGTGGGTGGATCACCTGAGGTCAGGACTTTGAGACCAGCCTGACCAACATGGTGAAACCCCGCCTCTACTAAAAATACAAAATTGGCCGAGCGTGGTGGTACATGCCTGTAATCCCAGCTACTCGGGAGGCTGAGGCAGGAGAATCACTTGAACCCAGGAGATGGAGGTTGCAGTGAGCCAAGATTGCACTACTGCACTCCAGCCTGGGTGACAGAGCAAGACTCTGTCTCAAAAAAAATAAAATAAAATAAATAATAGAGACAGGGTCTCTCTCTGTCACCCAGGCTAGAGTGCAGTGACACAACCATGGCTCATTGCAGCTTCAACCTCCTGGGCTCAAGCAATCCTCCCACCTCAGCCTTCTAAGTAGCTAGGACTACAGCTGCACATCACGATGCTCACCTAATTTTGCTTGTTTATTTATTTATTTATTTATTTAGAGACAGCGTTGCACTCTTGTTGCCCAGGCTGGAGTGCAATGGCGCTATCTCGGCTCACCGCAACCTCCGCCTCCTGGGTTCAAGTGATTCTCCTGCCTCAGCCTCCTGAGTAGCTGGGACTACAGGTGCACGCCACGACACCTGGCTAATTTTTATATATTTTTTAGTAGAGAAAGGGTTTTGCCATGTTGGCCACGCTGCTCTCGAACTCCTGACCGCAGGTGATCTGCCTGCCTCAGCCTCCCAAAATGCTGGGATTACAGGTGCAAGCCACCACATCCAGCCTATATATATATTTTTAATTGTGATAGATAGTTGTTATTAGGTTTGGAAAAGGGAATGAAGGGCCGGGCGCGGTGGCTCACACCTGTAATCCCAGCACTTTGGGAGGCCGAGGCGGGTAGATCACGAGGTCAGGAGTTCGAGACCAGCCTGACCGACATGGTAAAACCCCGTCTCTACTAAAAATACAAAAATTAGCCAGGCATGGTGGTGCACGCCTGTAATCCCAGCTACTCGGGAGGCTGAGGCAGGAGAATCACTTGAAACCAGGAGGCAGAGGTTGCAGTGAGTCAAGAGGTTGCAGTGAGCCGAGATCATGCCATTGCACTCCAGCCTGGGCAACAGAGCAAGACTCCGTCTCAAAAAAAAAAAAAAAAGGAATGAAGGAGTTTTCTTACAGTCAAAATAAGGAAGCTGAAGTTGTAAAATCGGACAGACCTGGGTTTACATCTGAGCTTTGATGTTTACTGGCTTTGTGACATTGAGCAAAGTATCTAACTGAGTCTTGACTTCCCAGCTGAAAGTAGGAATAATAATACTCCCCCTCTCAGACATTTGGGAGGATTTGATGAAATGGCCATTCCATTACACTTGCCTGTTTTATTGTTTCCATGGTTCTGATCAACTCTGAACTGCTGGATTTATTGTTCTCTTCTTCCTCCTCTTCCTCTTCTTTTCTTCTTTTTTGAGACAGGGTCTTACTCTGTTGCCCAGGCTGGAGTGCAGTGGCATAATCTTAGCTGAATCACTGCAACTTCTGCCTTCTGGGCTCAAACGATCTTCCTGCTTCAGCCTCCTGAGTAGCTGGGACTATGGGTGTGCACCACCACGCCTGGCTAATTTTTGTATTTTTTGTAGTGACGGGGTTTTGTCATGTTGCCCAAGGGGGTCTCGAGCTTCTGGGCTCAAGAGATCTGCCAGCCTTGGCCTCCCAAAGTGTTGGGATTACCCACGTGAGCCACTGTGCCCGGCCATAATATTCCATCTTATGGATATATCATATTTTAGTTAACCAGCCCCATATTGTTGGACATCTAGATTGATAAGTTTTTCCTTTTGTAAACAATATTGAGCTACACAACCCTGTATATCCATCCTTGACTACGAGTCTGATTATTTCCTTCAGACAACTTCCTCAAAGTTGAATTGCTGGATCAAAGGGTATGCACCTTAATGTTCTCCTGTTATTGTTATTGTTATTATTATTATTATTATTATTATTGAGATGGAGTCTTGCTCTGTTGCCCAGGCTGGAGTGCAGTGGCATGATCTCGGCTCACTGCAACCTCCGCCTCCTGGGTTCCAGCTATTCTCCTGCCTCAGCCTCCTGAGTATCTGGGACTACAGGCATGTGCAACCATTCCTGGCTAATTTGTGTATTTTTTTTAGCAGAGACAGGGTTTCATCATGTTGACCAGGCTGGTCTCGAACTCCTGACCTCAGGTGATCTGCCCACCTTGGCCTCCCAAAGTGCTGGGATTACAGGTGTAAGCCACTGTGCCCGGCCTGTTTTATTATTTTTTAAGTGATAAAAATATACAAGTAATAGAGAACAATCTCATCTCAGTAGTTCCAGACCAGCCCCACACTCCCATGGCAACTCACCTTAAACATCTGGTGTGTATTTGTTCATGCATTGTTCTTTATACATATAGTTTTCCTTTCTTGTTTTTATAAAATGGCACTGGTGGGCATATATATATTTTTGGTGGGGAGGGAGGGATGGGGTCTCCCTCTGTCGCCCGGGCTGGAGTGCAGTGGCAAGATAATAGCTCACTGCAGCCTCCACCTCCTGAGTTCAAGAGATCCTCTTGCCTCAGCCTCCCGAGTAGCAGGACTACAGACGCTTGCCACCCTGCCCCGCTAATTTTTATTTTTTGTAGAGATGGGGTCTCCCTATGTTGCCCAGGCTGGCCTCAAACTTCTGGGCTCAAGCAGTCCTTCTGCCTTGACCTCCGTGCTGGGATTACAGGTGTGAGCCACCGCACCCGGCCTAGTGAGCATATTTTTAAGGTGTATGTCAATTAGTGTGGAACACTGATGGAACGAACATAGCAATAATTAGAATTGCCACTCATGGAGCACATATTAAGTGTCGGGCATTGAGCACCAAGCATTGTGGACAGACGCTTTATTTTCACCAGGTTTTGAGTGCTTACTGGGTACTAGACTTTTCAGTCAATATTAATCATCTACTATGTGATTCTACCAAGTGCTTATGAACAAGTGTGCAGCGCCTATTCTGCGCCAGCCTTTTGCTTGCATCTCATTTAAACGTGAAAACAAGGAGTGATCTCTATGCTCTGCCCAGGGTGGGGGCGCGGGCCCGAGCAAGGGGTGCACACCTGAGTAGGGACAGGACGGGGGAAGCGGCGTCCTCTTCCCTGGCGCGCTGCAAAGCCAGGGCTACCCTGAATGGCCAGGGGGAGAAGGGGCCGGCGGAGGTCAGGCCGAGGGCAGGCGGCAGCGAAGGGCTAGGCGGACGTCCAGGCCACCCGGGTGGCCTCGTCCGCGGAGCGGTGGGCGGAGCGGCGGGCGGGGCCTGTATTGTCCGCTCCGCGAGGCATGCCGGGAGCCCCGCCCCCAACATGGCGTCTCACTGACAGTTGGTTGCCGAGCGGCAGAGGCGGATCCTGCTCCTGAGGGCGGCGGCGGCGGCGGCGGCGGCGGCGGCGGCAGGGCCGGGGTCTCCCGGGCCGGGGTCGGGGGTATGGCGACTCGGACCGCCTAGGGCGGAGTTGCACGGGCGAGGCAGCAAGTGGGGCGCCGCTGGCGGGCGCGGCGGCCGCTGCCATGGACTGGTGATCGCGGCGGCTCCTGCTCCGTTTCCCCCGGCCGGGCGTCTGCTCCTCAGCGCCAAGCCTTCAGCCGGGGCCATGGGCTCGTCGGCGGCCGCGGCGGCGGCGGCGGCGGCGGCCGCTGACTCGGCGCAGTGGCTCTCGGTGAAGGAAGAGACCATCTTCCTGCACGACGGGCTGATCCGGGTCACCGACCTGGCCGAGCTGCCCAGCGAGATCCTCGGGGCCCCAGAGGCCGCGGACACCGACCTGGAGGTGAGCGAGGCGGCCCCCGGCCCCCGCCATCGGACTGACCCACTCGCCCGGCACCCCCGGGTCGGGCCCCCTCCTCGCCTCAGCCGCGGCCTCGCCTCCCGGCGGCTGCCGGGGCAGGTGTGTGTGGGCGCGGGGCGGGCAGGTGGGGCCGCGGCCGCAGGTCTGCGGACCGCCCGCCCCGCTCTCCCTCCCTCCCTCCTCGGGGCCTGGCGCCCGCAGGGGATTTCATTTGTGGTTTTCTTTTGAGCGTTCCGACACCCGGCATTTTATTAGGCTAGCGCCTGGCTCGGCCTTCATGCCCCAGAGGAGCCACCGCCACCACCCGGGCCCTCCCTCCCCTCCCCCACGGGCCCCCAGGACCCACTTCCAGGGCACACCCAGGTTGCTTAGCTTTGGGAACATTTTGATTTTCACGCTGTGTACCCTCCCATCCTTTTCTTCCCTAGTTCTGTTTTTTTTGTTTGGTTTGGTTTGGTTTTTTTCCGGGAGAGGGTAGTGGCAGCTGCGGGTCCGCGATGGGCAATCCAGCAACTTCTCTGTGTTGTGTCTCGGATGGATTGACACGGGGCCTTTGTCAGGGAAGCGGGCGCTGTGGACAGCGAGAGGGATGCTCCAGCGGCCCTCCATGCACTCTCGGGGAAGGGTCACTGGCGCGTTAGGCCGCAGGGCCTTTTTGTGTGCCCCGGGGGTCGCCAAGCATCCCGGGTTCAGAGCCGTGGCAGGTGCAACAGCAGATCTCATCAGTTGAGCTGCTTGGCCTTGGGGGCAGAAGGGAACCAAATATGCCTGGTTGGTGGGAACTTTCCATCGACTTCACTTGGGTTCGTGTTTGCCTAGAGGTGGGAATACTGGCAGTGTCGTTTCATGGAGGCCAACGGATGCTGACACTGCTCCCCTTCCACTTTGTGGGATGACATTTTGATGTGTAGGTAGCATGGGGTGTCATCAAATTTTTACTGCCGTAAGGAGAGCTTTCTGGGGTAGGGCGCAGAGAGGATGGCCTATCTTCTGGCTATAAACGGCATGCGAGGGATCTTTTGTGTTTTGCGGTTTTGCGTGCAGTTTGGCTTTACGCACAACGAACATTTATAGAAATGAATTAAAAGCCATTACTGTGTGTTTCTGGAAACGGCAGTGATCGGATCACATTGGCCGAGACATTTGGACGTGCTTGAGATGCGAATACGTTCCACTGTATTTTTGTGTCTGGATTTGCGGTTGCTTCAGCACTTCCGTTATGAACTCTTAATTGACTTATTTTACAATCTAGTCACCAAAAAGAGGAGGATATGGTTGGTAGGGAATTCCTAACATGGAATCATCGTTTTATTGTGTCTCATTTGGGCCTGTTCTATAACAAGCAAGGTGTGTCTGAGTGTCTTATCTGCCTGAAAACTCAAGGGGTATTATGCTATGATAGTGGAATCTTTTGATTTAATTGGCTGTGTTGTGTGTGAAAGGTGGAAAGTGGATGCTCTTTGTTTCTTTCTTTTCTTTTTTTTCCCCCGAGACCGAGTCTTGCTCTGTCGCCCAGGCTGGAGTGCAGTGGCGCGATCTCAGCCCACTGCAGCCTCTGCCTCCCGGATTCAAACGATTCTCCTGCCTCTGCCTCCCGAGTTGCTGGGATTACAGGCACGCGCCACCATGCCTGGCTAATTTTTGTATTTTTAGTAGAGACAGGGTTTCACCATGTTGGCCAGGCTGGTCTCGAACTCCTGACCTCAAGTGATCTGCCTGCCTTGGCTTCCCAAAGTGCTGAGATTACAGGCGTGAGCCACTATGCCGTGCCTATGCTCTTTGTTTCTTAAAGACTAATCCAAGTTCACAGAACCAAAATTTATACATATATGTCATTTATGTAGTTTATTTTTAGGATTAGAAAGAGTAGGATTAGTTAAAATATCTGTGATGTTGGTTTTCCTAAAATGTTTATAAATGTATTGCGTGAATTTGTCAGCTATTTCCACAGAAGAATGGTTTTCAAAGGAAAGAACCTCTCTGGCCTGCTAGATTTTTTTTTTTAATTGCTTTTTAAATTTATGGTCTGATTTCTCAGCAACTAGTATGTGTATGGGTGATAAACATTTATGACTGGTAGTAGTGAATAACTTGTTTCATTCTTTCCATGTTATACAGGCTCCATGGTATCAGGAGAAATAGATAGCTAAGAATGTTTTTGTGGCTATTAGATTTGTGTTTGTGTGGGTGTATTCACATATATATATATATATATAAAAAATCTTTTTATTTTTTATTTTGAGACAGGGTCTCTCTCTGTTGCCCAGGCTAGAGTGCAGTGGCTCCATCTCAGCTCACTGCAACCTCCACCTCCCGGGTTGAGGCAATTTTCCTGCCTCAGCCTCCCAAGTAGCTGGGATTACAGGCATACACCACCATGCCGGGCTAATTTTTGTATTTTTAGTAGAGACAAGGTTTTGCCATGTTGGCCAGGCAAGTCTCGAACTCCTGACCTCAGGTGATCCGCCTGCCTTGGCCTCCCAAAGTGCTGGGATTACAGGCATGAGCCACCATGCCCAGCACATATTTAATTACTTAATAATATTGATTAAATGTATCCTACATGTCAGGCATTATTTTATTAAATTCTCAAAAGAGCCTAACAATTGGAAATATTGCACTCATTGTACAGATGAAGGAAGTGCAGAGTAGGTATTCGACTTGTTCAAGAGCACATGAAGAGCTTGCACGTTAACCTAGTTCTGTTCACTGCACATCTGCTCCTCATCATAATATTTTATTGCCTCCATGCATGTATAGTATTTTTATTTGCAATTATTTTAAATTTCATAACTGGCTACAGAAGGAAGAATCTCTATTTTCTTTTAGTAACTGTTTCTTTTTCATATTTGAGGAAGATTCGTGGTCTATTAATTTTTGGTTTTTTTTTTTGAGACGGAGTCTTGCTCTGTCGCCCAGGCTGGAGTGCAGTGGCACAATCTCAGCTCACTGCAAGCTCCGCCTCCTGGGTTCACACCATTCTCCTGCCTCAGCCTCCCCAGCAGCTGGGACTACAGGCGCATGCCGCCACACCCAGCTAATTTTTGTATTTTTAGTAGAGACGGGGTTTCACCATGTTAGCCAGGATGGTCTCAATCTCCTGACCTTGTGATCCTCCCGCCTCGGCCTCCCAAAGTTCTGGGATTACAGGCGTGAGCCACAGCGTCTGGCCGGTTTATTAATTTTTTAAAAGCTATCTTTTGAAATACCACCACACCTATGAAATACAGTGTTTCAAGCCTCTCCTTCCAGTGGACATCTGGGTGAATAATGGCCATTTTCCACAGAGTTTTATAATATATAGAATCCTTCAGTTAACACTTTCGGATTATGAGGAACGGGACTCAAGTTGACTAATTATGACTGGCAACCTTACTGCAGAAGAGTGCAATAGACGTCTTAGAATTTTACGCCGGTCGCAGTGGCTCATGCCTGTAATCCCAGCAATTTGGGAGACCAAGACGGGCGAATCACAAGGTCAGGAGATTGAGACCATCCTGGCTAACACAGTGAAACCCCGTCTCTACTAAAAAAAAAAATACAAAAAATTAGCCGGGCGTGGTGGCGGGCGCTTGTAGTCCCAGCTACTCGGGAGGCTGAGGCAGGAGAATGGTGTGAACCCGGGAGGCGGAGCTTGCAGTGAGCTGAGATCGCGTCACTGCACTCCAGCCTGGGCAACATAGCGAGACTCCGTCAAAAAAAGAAAAAAAGAGTCTTAGAATTTTAGAGCAGAAGAGACTTTAGAGATAATAATGTCCCTCATTTTAGAAAGAAGTTCTCTGAGATCAGGAGATCTCAGTGATCAGAAGATGAGGTTATGACTTAGTCACTATAGCATAGCTAGTTGTGGCAGGGCAATGACTAGACCCTAGCTTTTCTACCTTTGGATTCCAGTGTTCTGTTCACCCTGTAAGCGCTGCTCAAAGTCAATCTAAAGAAAGAATCCCTCCTAAGAAGTAGATCAACATGAATTTAGTATTTTAATTTAAGCAGATCCAGAGTATTTGAATTAAAATTTTTCTTCCCAGTAAATTCTTTTTCTTTCTTTCTTTCTTTCTTTTTTGAGACCGAGTTTTATTCTTGTTACCCAGGCTGGAGTGCAGTGATGCGATCTCGGCTCACTGCAACCTCCACCTCACGGGTTCAAGCAATTCTTCTACCTCAGCCTTCCAGTTAGCTGGGATTACAGGCATGTGCCACCATGCCCAGCTAATTTTGTATTTTTAGTAGACACTGGGTTTCACCATGTTGGCCAGGCTGGTCTCGAACTCCTAACCTCAAATAATCTGCTTTCCTTAGCCTCCCAAAGTGCCGAGATTACAGGCGTGAGCCACCGCACCCGGCCTCTTCCCAGTAAATTTCTAAACAGATTTTTTTTTAAAGCAATAAATAATGTTTAATCAACTAATTCATTCAACAAGTATTGGTGGAATTTAGAGTGAGCTGGGCCAACCGTCCTGGATGTTGGGGATATAGCAGTGGATAAAATAAAATCCTTGTCCTCAAAAAGCTTATAATTTAGTGGGATGATATAGACAATGACAAATATGTAACATGACATAGAGGCAAATGATAAGTGCTAAAGAGAAAAGTATAGCTCAGTAAAGAGATGGAGAGCATTGGAAAGAGGGCTCCGTTTTTTTGTTTTATTTTTTTTTTTTATTAGAGTTGGGGCCTTGCTATATTGTCCAGGCTGGTCTTGAATTCCTCTTGGCCTCAAGTGATCTTCCCACCTGAGACTCCCAGAGTGCTCAGCATGAGTCACTGCACTCAGCCAACTGTCCTGTTTTATTTTATCTTATTTTTAATTATTTATGTTCGAGACAGAGATTCTTGCTCTGTTTCCCAGGCTGGAATGCAGTAGTGCCATCTCTGCTCACTGCAGCCTCCACCTCCCGGGTTGAGGCGATTCTCCAGCCTCAGCCCCCTGAGGAGCTGAGATTACAGGCACGCACCACCACGCCTGGCTAATTTTTGTATTTTTAGTAGAGATGAGTTTCACCATGTTGGTCAGGCTGGTCTTGAACTCCGGACCTCAGGTGATCTGCCCACCTCCGCCTCCCAAAGAGTTGGGATTACAGGCGTCAGCCACTGCACCCAGCCTGTCCTGTTTTATATAGGGTGGACACAAAAGGAAAGCCCAGGATGGCTTTTGAGCAGAGACCTGAAGGGAGGGAGGGAGTATACCATATGGGAAAGAACATCCCATACAGAGACGACAGCAAGAGCCAAGTCCTTGAGAGGGAAGCGTCCTCAGCATATTTGGAGGTCTGAGCCCAGTAAGCTAAAGGGGAGAGGAGAGATGGGGAGCAGGGGATACAAATCAAGTAGATCCTTGTAGGTGAGGGCTTTGGATCTTACTATGAGTGAATTAAGAATGCAGAGTGTGGCCGGGCGTGGTGGCTCATGCCTGTAATCCCAGCACTTTGGGAGGCCACGGCGGGCAGATCACGAGGTCAGGAGATCGAGACCATCCTGGCTAACACGGTGAAACCCCGTCTCTACTAAAAATACAAAAAATTAGCCGGGCGTGGTGGCGGGCGCCTGTAGTCCCAGCTACTCGGGAGGCTGAGGCAGGAGAATGGCGTGAACCCAGGAGGCGGAGCTTGCAGTGAGCCGAGATCAGGCCACTGCGCTCCAGCCTGGGCCACAGAGTGAGACTCCATCTCCAAAACAAAACAAAAAAAAAGAATGCAGAGTGAGGCTTTTGCTTATTCTTTAAAATAGCCATTTGTTAGAACATGTGGAAAAAGGCAAAGAGAAAAAAAAAGAAAAAATAGCCGTTTGTATTTATTTTAATTTTATGTTGCTGGTGGAAAGCAAAAGGCATATAGGAATTTTTATTATTATTTTTTTTTAGACAGGAGTCCTGCTCTGTTGCCCAACCTAGGGTGCAATGGCTGTATCTCGGTTCACTGCAACCTCTGCCTCTCAGGTTCAAGGGATTCTCCTGCCTCAGCCTGCCAAGTAGCTGGGATTACAAGCGACCCTCACCCCAGCTAATTTTTTTTTTTTTTTTGTATTTTTAGTAGAGATGCGGTTTCGCCATATTGGCCAGGGTGGACTTGAACTGCTGACCTCAAGTGATCCAGCCGCCTCTACCTCTCAAAGTTTTGGGATTACAGACGTGAGCCACCACGACCGGCTTAGGAAATTTTTTTAAAATGTTGAAATAAATATACATTTAAGAGAAATAAAAAAGCAATAACTCAAAAATAACATCTCAAATGTTATTGCATTTTGCATTGCATTTCATAGAACATTATTCTTTTTAAGATAAAGGGAATTTAAGAGGGGGAAAAGAAGGAATAGCTTACTTGTGAGAATTCCAAAAGCATTCTGCTTCCTATTCCATTTTTCTTTACAAACTGCGGTTGGGAACAAGCAGGCATCGTATATAAGAGTATTGACAGAGAAGCTGATTGACTTACCCAAGGTGGCTAAGATATTTCTTACTCCACAGTTGAAGTTCATTTTAAATTTAAGCATTTTGGTTAGTGCTTCTCATATTTCATTGTGTTTGCTTTTAAGTACTCCCTCTCCACCCCGCCCCACACCACACAAAGACTTGAACGTGAATGTTCAAGTCAGCTTTATTTGTGATTGCCCAAAGCTGGAAACAATCCAAATGTCCGTCAGCAGGTGAATGGATAAACAAATGTGGTACATCCATACAATGGAGTATTACTCAGCAACAAAAACGAATGAACCGTTGGTACTCACAACATGGATTTATGCAGAGTGGAAGAAACCAGACAAACAGGAGTATATACTGTAAGACTCCATTTCTATGAAATTCTAGAAATGCAGACTAATCTGTAGTGGTTACCTGGGGATAGAGGCAGGCAGGCAGGAAAGGATGAGAGGGACGGAGTATAAAGGAGCATGAAGAAACTTTTGGGGCGATGGCTCTTTCCCTATTTTGATTGTGGTGATGGTTTCACATTTGTATATGTATGTCAAAACTCATTAAATCACACACTTTAAATATGTGCAGTTTACTGTACGCCAATTATATGTTAATTAACAAATGGAACCTAATAGATGCAAAGGGTTTTTGTTTATTATTTTGTTTTGCCAGATAAGAAAAGGGGCATTTGGGTTTGAAGTTGATCAGCTGAAATCATCAAGGCTTTAAATACTTATCATACACTCAAGTGAAATCTTTGAGATGATATTTAGATTTATGTTGGTCTATTCTCCTAGGAGGACACTGCTAGCCTATATATCCTTTGGGCAAAATCCTTTGGAAAGTGTTTATGTACTTTTATAGAATTCTAGATTTGGATGAGTTAATGAATAAGCGAATAAACTACCCTTGTTCACCAGTAGTGTTGATTACCATGCAATTAATGAGCACTGTAATAGGAGTCACTGAATCTTGGTGCAGTATTCTGTGAGCTTGGGCAAAAGGCCCAACAGGCTTTCAGGCTTGTCTGGCTCGAGCTGTAAAATGAGAATGAAGTATTTGAGGGCTGTGGGAGACAGTATTGCCTTGAAGTTAAAGTCAGGTTTAAAGAGTCAAACTGGGATTGAAATTCTAGCTCTGCTCCTTGCTTGCTGTATGACCTTGGGCAAATTCCATACCTTTTTTTAAACATATTTTTCTAGAGACAGGTTCTCACTCTGTCACTGGCTGGAGAGCAGTGGTGTGATCATAGTTCACTGCAGCCTCACACTCCTGTGCTTTAAGTGGTCTTCCCACCTTAGCCTCCTGAGTAGCTGGGACTACCGGTGTGCTACTAATTTTTTAATGTTTTATAGAGATGGAGTCATGCTGTGTTGCTCAGGCTGGTTGTGAACTCCTGGCCTCAAGCAATCCTCCTGTCTCAGTCTCCCAAAGTGCTGGGAATACAGGTGTGAGCCACTGCACCTGGCCAAATTCCATACCTTCAGAAATCACTAGTTACTTTTTTTTTTTTTTTTTTTTGAGACAGAGTCTCGTTCTGTCACCTAGGCTGGAGCGCAATAGCACGATCGCAGCTCACTGCAACCTTCGCCTCCCGGGTTCAAGTGGTTCTCCTGCCTCAGCCTCCCGAGTAGTTGGGATTACAGGCATGCATCACCATGCCTGGCTAATTTTATATTTTTAGCAGACACAGGGTTTCACAATGTTGGCCAGGCTGGTCTGGAACTCCTGACCTCTGGTGATCTGCCCACCTCAGCCTCCCAAAGTGCTGGGATTATATGTGTGAGCCACTGCGCTCAGCCCCTAGTTATCTTCTGGTGCATCTTCTTAGTCATCATTGTCACTATCTCTACCACTCCCACGACAACAGCGCCAGCATATTGAGTGGTATGTTCTGTGCTAAGTACTTCACATCCATTATTTTATTTGATCCTCACAAAAAACATGAGGTTGGTACTGGATTATCTTTACTTTTATTATTTTTGTTTTGTTTTGTTTGTTTTGAAATGGAGTCTTACTTTGTCGCCCAGGCTGGAGTGCAGTGGCGTGATCTCGGCTCACTGCAACCTCCGCCTCCTGGGTTCAAGTGATTCTTCTGCCTCAGCCTCCCGAGTAACTCCCGTGCCACCACACCTGGCTATTTTTTGTATTTTTAGTAGAGACGGGGTTTCACCATGTTGGCCAGGCTAACTCCTGACCTCAAGTGATCCACCCTCCTTGGCCTCCCAAGTGTTGGAATTTCAGGCGTCAGCCACCGTGCCTGGCCAAGGATTATCTTTATTTTATAAATGAGGAAACTGGCACAGACAAAAGTTAAGTAACTTGACAAAGGTAAGATAGTTAGTGGCAAAGCTAAGACTGAAATAGGTCTGTCTGATTCCAGCCCTGAGTCCATATTCTTGAACTATTATGTTATACTATCATCATCTAAAAGAGTGGGATAATGATAGGGCTAATGTCAGAATTAAAAAGATGGAGGTGGCCAGATATGGTGTCTCATGCCTGTAATCTCAGCACTATGGGAGGGCAAGGAGTGGACTGGAGTTCAAGACCAGCCTGGACAACATGGCAAAACTCTCTCCCTACAAACAAATACAATAAAATTAGCTGGGCGTGGTGGCATGCACTTGTAGTCCCAGCTACTCAGGAGGCTGAGGCTGAAAAATTACTTGAGCCTAGGAGGCAAAGGTTGTAGTAGGCGAAGACTGTCACTGTACTCCAGCCTGGGTGACAGAGCCAGACCCTGTCTCAAAAAAACCAAACAAAAATAACAATAATAATAATAAGATGGATGTGGGCTGAGTGTGGTGGCTCATGCCTGTAATTCCAGCACTTGAGAGGCCAAAGCAGGAGAATTGCTTGAGGCCAGGAGTTCAAGACCAGCCTGGGCAACATAGCAAGATCCCATCTCTACAAAACATTTTAAAATTAGCTAGACATGGGCCAGGTGCAGTGGCTCATGCCTGTAATCCCAGCACTTTGGGAGGCAGAGGTGGGCGGATCACACGAGGTCAGGTGGGCGGATCACGAGGTCAGGAGATCGAGACCATCTTCGCTAACACGGTGAAACCCCGTCTCTACTAAAAAAATACAAAAAATTAGCCGGGCATGGTGGCGGGCACCTGTAGTCCCAGCTACTCGGGAGGCTGAGGCAGGAGAACGGCGTGAACCCAGGAGGCGGAGCTTGCAGTGAGCCGAGATTGCGCCACTGCACTCCAGACTGGGCGACAAAGCGAGACTCCATCTTAAAAAAATAAAAAAAATTAGCGGGGCGTGGTTGGCTACTTGGGAGGCTGAGGTGGGAGGATCACTTGAGTCCAGGAGCTGGAAGAGGCAGTAAGCTATGATTGTGCCACTGTACTCCAGCCTGCATGACAGAGTGATTCCCTGACACCAAAATATTAAAAAAAAAAAAAAAAAGATGTGATTATGTTTAAAGTGTATTGACTCTCTTTATAAGGTGCTATGTTGCTTGGAGGTTATTTTATGCATATTCAGCCAGCTGCCTATTGTATTTGAAAGCAAAACTATCCCATCAACATAATTTTTTCTATAGTAGTGGAATCGTTTTTTGTTTGTTTGTTTGGTTGGTGATCCCTGCGGAATTTTCTTTTTTCTTTTTTTTTTTTTTTTTTTTTGAGACAGAGTTTCACTCTTGTTGCCCAGTCTGGAGTGCAACGGCACAATCTCGGCTTACCGCAACCTCCGCCTCCCGGGTTTAAGCGATTCTCCTGCCTCAGCCTTCCAAGTAGCTGGGATTACAGGCGCCCGCCTCCACGCCCAGCTCATTTTGTAGTTTTAGTAGAGACGGGGTTTCTCCATGTTGGTCAGGCTGGTCTCGAACTCCTGACCTCAGATGACTCGCTTGCCTTGGCCTCCCAAAGTGCTGGGATTACAGGTACAAGCCACTGTACCTGGCTGGAATTTTCTTTCCTTTTTTTTTCTTTTTGAGATGGAGTTTCTCTTTTGTTGCCCAGGCTGGAGTGCAATGGCGTGATCTCGGCTCACTAAAACCTCCGCCTCTTGGGTTCAAGCTATTCTTCTGCCTCGGCCTCCCAAGTAGCTGAGATTACAGGCATGTGCCACCATGCCCAGCTAGCTTTGTATTTTTAGAAGAGATGGGGTTTCACTACGTTGGTCAGGCTGCTCTTGAACTCCTGACCTCAGGTGCTCCACCCACCTCGGCCTTCCAGAGTGCTGGGATTACAGGTGTGAACCACCGCGCCTGGCTGGAATTTTCTTCCTTCTCAATTTGTTTGCAGTGTGGCTAGGCAGATGAGATAATAGATAGTCTCTGTTTCAGTTTTTCTCCAATTGTATACCTAAGGTCTTGCTAAATAAATCAGCTTTGATTATTATCTGTCTTCTTGGCTTCCATCTTTACTGTCATAAAATACTACCTGTTGGCTCGAGCTGCTGGGTGGGTGGTCATACATCTCTTCTTTCCTAGGTCTGAAGGTAACTGTGGTGTTAATTATGAAAGTACTGTCAATTGCCGAAAGTGCCCCATGCTTTCCCCTCCCCACCTTTCCCTCTTGTTTTACAACAGTGGTTGTGGGGTGAACACAAGGAGTGTAGTCTGCTTTACAAGATGTTTAGTCAATAGTTGTAGACAAATGTAAATAACAGCAGGTGATCAACTATGGGACAAATGCATAGGAGAGAAATTGCAGAAATTGTGTAACTTTTATTTTGATCCTGTATTTTAAGCACAGCTTATGTATCTATTAATTAAAAAAAAAACTATGAGTAGTACATGAATACATTCTTGACAAAACGGAAATAACAGGTAAAACTGAAGTCCCTTTTAAGCACCATCTCTAATTTGGATCTCTGTGTCCTTCTTGCCCTGGCTAAATTAGTGAAAATTTTTTCGTGTATATTCTTCAAGACCATTTTAAAATTTTGGTGTGTATATAACACATTCTATTTTTTTCTTTTTTACATAAAGATGTCATACTAGACATATCTTTCTGTAACTTGCTTTCTTTTTAAACTCAAGGATATGTTTTGATCATTCTGTGTCTCCATATATATATCTACCACATTATTTTTAAGTGCTGCACAAGACTCTAGAAATGCCACAGTTTTATTTAGACATTCCCTATTGATGAGTATCTTAGTTTCCTGTTGCCATGTTAACAGATTATCACAAATTTCGTGGCTTAAGGCAACATGGATTTATTCTCACATTTTTGGAAGTCAAAAGTTTGAAATGAGTCTCACTGGGCTAAAAGTCAAGCATTGGTAGGTCTGGTTCCTTCTGCAGGCTCTAGGGGAGAATCTGTTCCCATGCCTTTTCCACAGCTTCTTGTGGCCACTTGTATTTCTTGGCTTGTTGCTGTTTCCTCCATCTTCAGAGTATGTTACTGCAGTCTCTCATCTGTCATCACATCGCCTTCTCCTCTGACCCACTCTTCCCACATCCCTTTTATAAGCACCCTTGTGAGTACATTTAGGGCCCACCCAGATAATACAGGATAATCCCTCCATCTCAAGATCTTTAACTTAATCACATCTGCAAAGTCCCTTTTGCCATCTAAGGTCACATTTACAGGTTCCAAGGATTAGTAGGTGGACATTTTGGTGGACGCCATTATTCAGTTGAGCACGATGGGTATTTTGGTTGTTTTCAGTTTTTCACTCTTAAAAACAGTCCTTCAGTACAGATTCTTGCATGCCTGCTCATGCACACCTGAGATTATTTCGCTAGGGTAAGTGGAATTGCTGGGTCATTGGTGACAAATTAATTTTAATAGATACTACCAAATTGCCCTCCTGTGTGATTACCAATTATAGTCCCGGTATTAGTGTTTGATAGGACCTCTTTTCCGCACACCCTCTCAGAGGCCATTTTAGAACTCATAGGTTTGCTTAATTTGGCTGGGTGAGGTGGCTCACACTGTAATCCCAGCATTTTGGAAGGCTGAGGCAGGTGGATCACTTGAGGTCAGGAGTTCGAGTCCAGCCTGGCCAACATGGGAAAACCCCATCTCTACAAAAAATGTTTTAAAAATTAGCTGGGCGTGGTGGTGGGTGCCTGTAATCCCAGCTACTTGGGAGGCTGAGGCAGGAGAATTGTTTGCACCTCAGAGGCGGAGGTTGTAGTGAGCCAAGATCACACCACTGCACTTCAGTCTGGATGACAGAGCGAGACTCTGTCTCAAAAAAAAAAAAAAAAAAAGAAATCCTAGGTTTGCTTAATAAGGCAATAACTTTCGCTCCAAAAGATGCATCCAATGGATGTAATTGGGTACCTAGAAATGCACGCTGAACCCTGGTCAGCCAAAGAAGCCAGAGTTTTCTGTCAGTGCCATCCAGCTCTTATGAGTTCACTTCAGAGCACCTCTCTTGTGGCTTGATAGCCTTCTTGTCCCGGCATAGGCTCATTTTGGTCAGTAATCCGGTTAATACAGAGACCATGTCTATATATAGGCAGGAGGGAAACAATGACTCCTTACTCCGTGATGGTTTGTGGATAGTGCCAGAGACCAGGAGAGCGAGGGAGCTGCACATACCGGGAAGAGAAGCATTGGCTCCCGAAGTGTGCTCAGAATGCACAGCAGTTGTGAGGGAGATTATTTGGACTTAGAGCCCCTGAAAATTTTCTCTCTTACATGCTAATAACATGAGTGATTCCACATTTTTTTTACCTATGTGAAAAATACCTATATTAAGTGGATTGTATTTTTATGCTATGTAAAACCTTTTTGATTATAAGTAAATAATACAGGGATGTTGTTGAAAATAGAGAAAACATCTAAAAGTATAAGAGAGACAATAAATACCCTGGGATTACACCATTCCACCAGAACGAAATTAATTTTTTATTATTTGCTTCTTCAGCTCATATTTTTATATAGATAAAATTGGGATTATATGCTATTTGCAGTTTTGGATCCTGTGATTACTTACTGGGAACATTTTGAATAAGATTTAAAGATATAATTTTTAATGTCTGCATAGTAATTTGTGGATATACTATAATTGTCTTCTGCTGTTTCTTTAAATCTGCTATTTTAAAGATAATCTACTATTTAAAGATAATATCAATTTATAGGAAGCGAAATAATTTTCAGTATTTAAAGTGTTATCTGTTTGATAGTTTGGTAAATTATAAATTTGTAGTGATTTTTAAAGTGTTTCTGTGACTTATTACTGTTACTACTTTATAATTTCGAGGGATTTTAATAGTGCTGTATGAATCCTCTCCCAATAATGTTGAATATTTGCATGGAGCTTGTAGTTTAGAAAGTGCTATTAAGCACATTTGGTGAATAATTAATGTTCCATGATGGGACACTTTGGAGTGGACACATTTGGATCCCTAGCGCTTTTACTAAAACCTGCAGTTGGCTGAATTACTAGGTCAGAGCACAGTGTGTAGCAATTTTAGATTAACAATAAGATGCATAATTTGCAAAGTATTTTATGCAAATTGTAGGTTTAGTAATGCTAATAACTACAGATTCGGCATTCAAGTAGTGGTTTTATACTAACAAAATATTAACATTCAGTTTGTATTTGTAATGGATCTTTTCAATGTTTACTATATTTGCTTTGTGCTCTGTAGTTTGTGTTATGATTTCTACTGTGTAAAGTCTAATACAATAGATGTAGCTATTTATGGGGCAGAGTAGAAAATCTGGACCTTCTATCTCTATGACGTGTTAGCGTTTTTTTTTTTTTTTTTTTTTTTTTTTTGAGATGGAGTCTCCCTCTGTTGCCCAGGCTGGAGTGCAATGGCAAGATCTTGGCTCACTGCAACCTCTGCCTCCCGGGTTCAAGCGATTCTCCTGCCTCAGCCTCCCAAGTAACTGGGATTACAGGTGCATGCCACCACACCCAGCTAAATTTTTGTATTTTTATTAGAGATGGGGTTTCACCATGTTGGCCAGGCTGGTCTTGAACTCCTGACCTCAGATGATCCACCCACCTCCACCTCCCAAAGTGCTGGAATTACAGGCGTGAGCCACTGGGCCCTGCCGGAAGCATTTTTTCAGTTGAGTTTATAAATAAACTTTCCTTTCCCTCAGGGGTTCTGAACCTAAATAGGATTCAGAGATGCATGGGATCCATGAATAGAATTCATGGCATCTGTGACCTTGGATGGGAAAGAAAATATGTATCTTTATTTTCACATACCTTTAGCTGAAATTCAGCCTTTTGTTTTGTTTTCTTTCTTTCTTTCTTTCTTTCTTTCTTTCTTTCTTTCTTTTTTTTTTTGAGACCAAGTCTTACTCTGTCACCCAGGCTGGAGTGCAGTGGCACAATCTCGGCTCACTGCAACCTCTACCTCCCCGGTTCAAGTGATTCTGCCTCAGCCTCCCAAGAAACTGGGATTACAGGTGTGCGCCACCACACCTGGCTAATTTTTGTATTTTTGGTGGAGATGGGGTTTCACCATGTTGGCCAGACGGGTCTCGTACTCCTGACCTCAAGTAATCTGCTTGCCTCGGCTTCCCAAAGTGCTGGGATTACATGCGTGAGCCACTACACCCAGCCAAAATTTAGCATTTTCTCCCTCTGAAGGCAGTCAACAAACCCAAGTAGTATTGGCAGTGTACCCACATGTACGATACAAAAAAAAAATAGTAACAAGCAATTTTTTCTTTTTCTTTTTCTTTCTTTTTTTTTTTTTTTTGAGACAGAGTTTCACTCTTGTTGCCCAGGCTGAAGTGCAATGGCGCGATCTCAGCTCACTGCAACCTCCGCCTCCTGGGTTCAAGCGATTCTCCTGCCTTAGCCTCCAAGTAGCTGGTATTACAGGTGCCCATCACCATGTCTGGCTAATTTTTGTATTTTTAGTAGAGATGGGGTTTCACCATGTTGGCCAGGCTGGTCTCTAACTCCTGACCTCAGGTGATCTGCCCACCTTGGGTTCCCAAAGTGCTGGAATTACAGGCGCTCTTTTTTTTCTTCTTCTTTTTTTTAATGTTGAAATAATTAAGAATGTTGCGCCCAGCAACAGGCAATTTTTTCAAAAAAGAACAATGTCTTTTTTAAGAGACACGGTCTCACTTTGTTGTCCAGGCTGAGTACAGCAGCATAATCATAGCTCACTGCCACCTCAATTTCCTGAGCTCAAGCAATCCCGCCATCTCAGCTTCCCAAGTAGCTGGGACTATAGGCTCACACCACCATGCCTTACTAATTTTTTATTTAAAAAAAATTTTTTTGTAGACATGGGGGTCTCACTACGTTGCCCAGGCTTGTCTTGAACTCCTGAGCTCAAGTTGTCTACCCACCTTGGCCTCCCAAAGTGCTGGGATTAGATGTGAGCCACTGTGCTCTGCCAAAATGGAACAATTTTTTTTTGTTCACCAGGTATTTTGGGTTTTTCCCCTCTTGTCTGAGGGAGAATGTTGGTCAGCTGAAAGTATGCGAATAAAATTTAATAAAATTTTGTTAGTATTGGTATCTTATACTGCTAATCATTTTAAACAGGTAACCTCAAACGGTAACTGTTGCCTATAATCCCAGCACTTTGGGAGGCTGAGGCGGGTGGATCGCCTGAGCCCAGGGGTTTGAGACCAGCCCGGGCAACATGGTGAAACCCGGTCTCTACTAAAAATACAAAAAATTAGCTGGGCGTGGTGGTATACACCCAAGTCCCAGGTACTCGGGAGGCTGAGGTGGGAGGATCACTTGAGCCCAGAAGGCAGAGGTTGCAGTGAATCAGCCGAGATCGCTCCACTGCACTCCAGCCTGGGCAACACAGGGAGACCCTGTCTCAAAAAAAAAAAAAAAAACAAAAAAAAAACACAAAGAAGCAGCAGTAACAGTTGCTATCCCAAGAGAAACATTGTTTTTAAAATCTAAATGCATTTTTGCTTCTGTCCACTTATAGAGTACAATTATATGCCTGCAGTTTCTTTTGTTGTTCAGATTGTTGTTTTACATTAGTATTGTCAAGGTTCAGGAGTTTTACTTAAATAGCCTCCAGAACTGCACTGTCCAGTTGGTAGCCACCACCCACATGTGGCTATTGAGCAGTTGAATGTGGCTGGTCAGAAGTGAAATGTGCTGAAAGTATAATACACATCAGATTTGTGAAGGCTTCATGCAAAAAAAATTTTAAAAGAACTCAGTGGTAATATTTTATTTTTAATTTTAATTTACATTTTTAGAGACAGGGTCTCACTCTGTCACCTAGGCCAGAGTGCAGTGGCACTATCGTAGCTCACTGTAACCTTGAACTCCTGGGCTCAGCCTCCCCAGCAGCTAGGACTATAGGCATATGCCACCACACCCGGCTAGTAATAATCCATATTGATTAAATGTTGAAATGATGATTTGTATATATAATGGGTTAAGTAAAATATATTTAAATTAAAAATACTAGAATTAATTTTATCTGTTTATTTTTACCTTTTTTAACATGGCTTCTGGAAAATATTAAATTACATATGTGTTTTATGTATTTCTGTTAGATAACGCTTTTTAGATAGAGGTCAGTAAACTGGCTTTCAGGGTCATATCCAGCCAACTAGCTGTTTTCATAAATAAAGTTTTATTGGAACATAATCAGCCTATTTGTTTACATATTGTCTGCCTTCATGCTACAAAGCAGAATTGAGTAGTTGTGACAAGATCTTATGCCCCACAAGCCTTCTAGGGCTCTGTGATCAAATAAGATCATAAGTTGAGGACACAGGTCAGGAAAAATTCACTAATGGAGAATAAAATAAGAATAGGTAGTTATTTTTGATGAACTAAAGTAGTTCACATGAGACTCTAGGAATTTTAATTGCAGTTACACTTTTTATTTTTAAAATTTTTATTTTTTTATTGAGACAGGGTCTCGCTTTGTTGTCCATGGCTGGAGGGCAGTGGCGCGCAGTCACGGCTCACTGCAGTCTGGACCTCCCGGGCTCAATTGATTCAAGTGCCTCAGCCTCTAGAGTAGCTGGGGCTACAGGCCCATGCCACCACGGCTGGCTAATTTTTGTGTTTTTGTAGAGATGGGGTTTCATCATGTTGTTCAGGCTGGTCTCAAACTCCTGGGCTGAAGCTATCTATCTGCCTTGGCCTTCCAGGGTGCTGGCATTACAAGCCTGAGCTGCTGCTCCTGGCATACATTTTGCCTTTTATTTATTTATTTTTTTTTTTTTTTGAGAGAGAGAGTCTTGCTCTGTCACCCAGGCTGGAGTGCAGTGGCGTAATCTCGGCTCACTGCAAGCTCCGCCTCCCAGGTTCAAGTGATTCTCCTGCCTCAGCTTCCCAAGTATCTGGGACTACAGATGTGTGGCACTATGTCCAGCTAATTTTTGTATTTTTTGTAGAGATGGGGTTTTACTATATGTTGGCCAGGCTGGTCTCGAACTCCTGACCTCAGGTGATTCACCTGTCTTAGCCTCCCAAACTGCTGGGATTACAGGCGTGAGCCACCGTGCCCAGCCCATTTTGCATTTTAGATAAGAAGGAAACACTTCTCAACAGTTGTAATATTATTAATATTTTTAATATTGGAACCTAGATAAGTAATGTGGGGTCACGACCTTTGATTTTTTTTTTTTTTTTTTTTTTTTTGGAGATTGAGTCTTGCTCTGTCATCCAGGCTGGAGTGCAGGGGTACGATCTCGGCTTACTGCAACCTCTGCTCACTGCAACCTCTACCTCCCAGGTTCAAGCAATTCTCCTGCCTCAGCCTCCTGAGTAGCTAGGATTGCAGGCGCACGCCACCACTGCCTGGTTAATTTTTTTATTTTTAGTAGAGATGGGGTTTCACCATGTTGCCCAGGCTGGTCTTGAACTCCTGACCTCGTGATCCACCTGCCTCGGCCTCCCAAAGTGCTGGGATTACAGGCCTGAGCCACTGTACCTGGCCTGACCTTTGATTTTTGTATAGAGCATAGTGCATTTTATGTAGAGAATAATGAATTCCAGAGAGATTTCTGAAAATAGCTAGTTAGATGGAGTTAATTGAAAATATGTTGCTTTGATCATCGTTCTAAAAATATTAATGACTTTGAATGAATTTTTTGCTTAACTTAGTTGTTCTATGATCAAGTAGTGAACTTGAGCACTATTCTATTTATTTTGCACATTTTTAGGTTTTTAGTAAACCTATTCTATGTCCATTAAGCCACTTTTATTGAGTAGCAGTACCTTGAAAACTGGGCCGGACAAGGTGGCTCATGCCTGTAATCCCAGCACTCTGGGAGGCCGAGATGGGAGGATTGCTTGAGCTCAGGAGACCAGCCTGGGCAACACAACAAGACCTCATCTTTATATATAAGAGAGAGAGAGAGAGTGTGTGTATGCTTGTGTGTATACACACATATATAAATTTTATATACACATGAATACATATTACATGTTATATATAAATTTTAAAAAATTAAAAAAGAATGGAACTGTTACAGAAGTTTTAAGATTTAATATAATCTAATTACTGATTAGCGTAATAAAACTATTGATTATAATTTATTTAAAACATTACAAAATGCTTAAAATTTAAAAAAATTAAAATGTTAGAGGAATTTTTGAAAATTTAGAAGATGTAGAAAAGCATAAGGGAGGCTGGGCGCAGTGGCTCATGCCTGTAATCCCAGTACTTGGGGAGGCCCAGACAGTTGGACCACATGAGGTCGGGAATTCGAGACCAGCCTGGCAAACATGGTGGAACCCCGTCTCTACTAAATATACAAAAATTAGCCGGGCATGGTGATGTGTGCCTGTAGTCCCTGCTACTCTAGAGGCTCAGGCAGGAGGACTGATTGAGCCTGGAAGTTTGAGGCTGCAGTGAGCTGATTTTGCCAGTGCACTCCAGCCTGGTTGACAGAATGAGACCCCATCTCAAAAAAAAAAAAAAATTTTAGAATTAGTTCAAGAGAGAATACAGGGAAATGTCTCCTTGCTAACATAACGCTCCCCACCTGCCTCCACCACCACCAACTTCCCAGCAGCAGCCAGTATTAGTAGTTACTTAGATGCTCCCCAGAGGTAGTGAGTGCACGTATGAGTGATGCGTAGGCAGATTCCTCTCTGACCTGGTCTCCTGATGTGCTCCCCTCCCTCCCATCACTCCACTGCAGTCTCCATAGCTTCCTTGTGTTCCCATAGAGGAGGCCTGCAGGTTGGCTTCCACAGAGCCCTTACTGTTCACTCTGGAGAATATTGACTTCCATAAGGCAATAGTCCACCAGGTGATGAAGGTGGTATTTTTGAGAATATTAAAGTATGAAGTACTTAGAAACTTAACATGTTAGAAAAACAAAAGAAAACAAAAAGCAAGGATATCACCCAGGGCAGCTTCAGCTCTGTTAGCAGATCAATGGGGACAGCTTTGAAACAACTGAAACGGAAATCTTTTCAAACAGATATATACAGTTGTGTACATAAGCACAGTCCCATTGAGTACAGATAGATACTTAAGTATCACAGCAATAGAGACAGAGGACTTGTAATGAATTCAAAGGCCCTCTGGTTGCAAGTCTGTTTGACAATTCCTACATACATTGTAATTGGGAACCTATAGTGTTAACTAGAAGAGTGCTCCCAAATTCTGATCCTACCGGTTTATTTCATCTTTCTCCAAGTAGTTCTATTTGGTGCTTCAATGTCCTTCTTCCTGCTTCTGGAGTTAAGCAGGTACTTACACAAAAAATAAGTATATATCTTGCACATGACTGGTTTTTAAATGTATGTAAAGTACTATATTGTAGAGTTTTTTGTTGTTTTTGGAATACACGTTAACATTCAGGGCCATACAGAATATTGTGCCCTGTGGGATTTAAAGGAGGATGGTATATGGAGTCAGTGACAAATAACCTGGGACTTTAAAATGCAGGGTCCTTCAGGGGATCCTTATGAACACAGAGTGAGCCTAGTGGTTAAGACTGTAGGCTTTGGCATTGACACATCTCGCCAGCTGTTAGTTCAGTTCTACCACCTATCAGAATTTCAATTTCTTGGTTATAAAATGCCCCCCTTCAAGGGTAAATAAGGGCCGGGTATGTTGACTCACACCTGTAATCTTAGCATTTGGGAGGCTGAGGTGGGAGGATTGCTTGACCCCAGGAATGCAAAGCAAGCCTGGGCAATGTAGTGAGACCCTATCTCTACAAAAATAAAATTAGAAAATTAGCCAGGTGTGGTGTCATGCACCTGTAGTCCCAGCTACTTGGGAGGCTGAGGTGGGAGGATCGCTTGAGCCTAGAGGTTGAGGCTGTGATTGCACCACTGCACTCAAGCCTGGGCGACAGAGTGAGACTCTGTCTGAAAAAAAAGGGTAAATAAGAAGACTAAATGAGATAAATGGGGTAACACACCCAGAATAGCAACTGACATATGACATATAATAATGAAGAAAATATGGATGGGAGAAGAGCTTTGTGGTTAAAATACCTGTTATAATTCAAGTATTGGGTCCCTCAAGTTTTTGTTGGTGTGTTCCATTCTAAAATCGTGTATTGTCGCGGATGAACAGACATTATCTTTCAGGTTTTTAAAAGCTGGAAAAAATTAGATCCTTGTCTTTATTAATGTAGTTGACTAATAATACTGTTTTGATCTTACCTTTTTTTTTTTTTTTTGAGACGGAGTTTCTCTCTTGTTCACCAGGCTGGAGTGCAATGGCGCGATCTCAGCTCACTGCAACCTGTGCCTCCTGGGTTCAAGCGATTCTCCTGCCTCAGCCTCCCAAGTAACTGGGATTATAGGCATGCGCCACCATGCCTGGCTAATTTTTATATTTTTAGTAGAGATGGGGTTTCACCATGTTGGCCAGGCTGGTCTCGAACTCCTGACCTCAGGTGATCCACCTGCCTCAGCCTCCCAAAGTGCTGGAATTACAGGCGTGAGCCACCGCCCCCGGCCAATCTTACCTTTAACAGAAATAATGTTGTTGGTTATTTTTGCTAGAGATATATGGGATCAGGTATAATTTATTTCCCTAGATTGAATTTAAAACATTTTTGCAAAAGTGCATCTTAATGATACATTTTCTGGTATATATTTTAATACTTTCCTTTCTCTATATTTCTGTTTTATTTTTTCACTTTGTTAGAGATATAAGATCAAGGTACTTAGTTCTTGAGAACTGCCCCTCAAGGAAAACTTTATTCTTGGGATGATGGATGCTTCCAATGGAAACCCTTTTGATATATAACTTCTTTGATGATGGAAAAATTTGTGAATGGTAAGAATAGTATTTTGCTACTTTATACATTTTATTCATTTATTTACTTAGAGACAGGGTCTCACTCTGTTGCCCAGGCTAGAGTGCAGTGGCTATTCACAGGTACAATCATTGCACACTGCAGCCCCAGACTCCTGGCCTCAAGCGATCCTCCTGCCCCAGCCTCCCAAGTAGCTGGGACTATAGGTGCATGCTACTGCCCCTGACTCTTTTGCTACTTTTATGTGTTTAAACCTATACCTAGATACTTTCTAGAAATACTCTAGCTTTCTTCTAGTTACCAAGAAAAATACTTTCTAGACAGTGGTGGAAAGATCATTGTAACTTCTTGTCCATGTGATTGTCATCCAAACCAGAAGATATCTCTGTTGCATCAATTGGGAAAAGTCCATTGTTGCACCTGTGCGTATTCCTCCCTCTTAATTCTCTTTGGGCTTTGTAGCAGCTCTTCTTAAACTTTAATGTGCGTACCACCTGGAGGTTTTGTTAAAATGTAGAGTAAGGCTGGGCGTGGTAGCTTATGCCTGTAGTCTCAGCACTTTGGGAAGCTGAGGCAGGAGGATCAGTTGAGCCCAGAAGTTCAAGTTTGCAGTGAGCTATCATCATGCTGCTGCACTCAGCCTGACGACAGAGATCTTGTCTATTAAAAAAAAAAAATGTAGGCCAGGCGCGGTGGCTCACGCCTGTAATCCCAGCACTTTGGGAGGCCAAGGTGAGTGGATTACTGGAGGCCAGAAGTTGAAGACCAGCCTGGCCAAAATGGTGAAACCCCATCTCTACTAAAAATATAAAAAGTAGCTGGACATGGTGGCAGGCACCTGTAATCCCAGCTACTCAGAAGCTGAAGCACAAGAATCATTTGAATCCGGGAGGCAGAGGTTGCAATGAGCTGAGATCACTCCCCTGCACTCCAGTGTGGGCGACAGAGTGAGACTCCGTCTCAAAAATAAAATACATAATAAAGTAATATGTAGACATAGAGTCTGATGTAGTGGTTGCTGGGGAGGGGGGTGGTCCTGAGAGTTTGCAATTTTTTTTTGGCATTTCTTTTTTGTTCGTTTATATTATTCCTTTAAAAAAAAAAAAGCATGATTCACATGGTAGAGAAGATTCTCCATTTCTAACTAGGTCCCAGGTAATGCTGATGATGCTGAGGGCCCAGGTCCACACCTGAGTGGCAGTTCTTTTTTTTTTTTTGAGACGGAGTCTTGCTCTGTTGCCCAGGCTGGAGTGCAGGAGTGCAGTGGCCCATCTCGACTCATTGCAGCCTCTGCCTCCCGCATTCACGCCATTCTCCTGCCTCAGCCTCCCTAGTAGCTGGGACTACAGGCATCCGCCACCACACCTGGCTAATTTTTTTGTATTTTTAGTAGAGACGAGGTTTCACTGTGTTAGCCAGGATGGTCTTGATCTCCTGACCTCGTGATCTACCTGCCTCGGCCTCCCAAAGTGCTGGGATTATAGGCATGAGCCACCGCGCCCGGCCGGCCGTTCTTATACTACAGGATCTAGAATGTGTGTTTGTTGAGAGTAAGCGTCTTTCTTACTATGTTGACAGTGACACAAATTTCTTTTTAGCAAATGTAGCTTTGGATCTCTGTCTCTTGTAGCCTTATGAGTTTTTCTGGCATTATTTACAACTGAGAAACAGTATCTCCTCTAAATTTTCTTGATACATGTTTTGAATGAATCTTTTTGGTGTCGTCAATTATGATTCGAAATGTTAGTTTAATCCTCCTTTCTTTGATCATAATCTGTCTATGGTCATAGACAGATAGGCACATTTATTACTACCCCTGAATAATATTCTGTCATTGAGATCATACTATATATGCTATTTGTACCTTATACTAAACAATATGTGTAAGGATATTTTTCATATTCATAACATAAAATTTACATAATGCTTTTTTTGATTTTTTTTCTTTTTGAAATGAGGTTTTGCTATGTTGTTCAAGCTGGTCTTGAACTCCTGGGCTGAAGTGATCCCCCTGCTTCGGGCTCCTGAATAGCTGGGATTTCAGGTGTGTGCCACTGTACCCAGCTCTTAATACTTTTTAGTAGGTTATAATATTTTATTTTATGGATGAATCATATTTTAACTGACCACATTATTTTATTCCTCTAAAAATAAACTTGTGGGATAGATACAATAGGAATTATTTTTTATTTTTTTTGAGACAGAATCTTGCTCTATCACCAGGCTGAAGTGCAGTGGCGTGATGTTGGCTCATTGCAACCTACGCCTCCCAGGTTCAAGCAATTTCTTGTGCCTCAACCTCTGGAATAGCTGGGATTACAGGTGCCTGCCACCATGTCCAGCTAATTTTTGTATTTTTAGTAGAGACAGGGTTTCACCATGTTGGCCAGGCTGGTCTCAAACTCCTCACCTCAAGTGATCCGCCTGCCTCGGCTTCCCAAAGTGCTGGGATGACAGGCATGAGCCACTGGGCCTGGCCAGAATTATCTTTTAGATATGAGAACATGGAGGCTTCTGCAGTTAAAGAATAAAATACATGGTAGTAGCAGTTTATTGAGCTCCTACTAGAAGCCTAGAATTGGATTAATGCCATTCATACCATACATTAGCATTTTGTAAGTAACATAAAACTAATACTGTATAATAAAGATTCTGAAATAATGAATCTAGGAGTCTTTTTTGAATGCTATGTAATCTTTGTGATATAAGTCTTTTATGTATTACATACTTCTTTGCTTTGGTAAACAAGGTTCTTAAAGATAATTTAACCTTTCTTTCATGACTTAGGCTTAATTATTAAAATGGCCAATTTTCAGAGGCTAATTTGTGAGAACTGCATCTCCTACCCTGAGTGGAAGTAACTGCTTTAGTAGTTTGTTTGTTTGTTTTCTCTATCCTTCCTCCCACCCTCCTTATCATCACAGCTCACTGCAACCTCAACCTCCCAGACTCAAGCTATCTTCCCACCTTAGCCCCCCACCCAGTAGCTGGGCAGATGGGGTTTCACCATGTTGTTCAGCCTATTGGCGTTTTATCTGTCTTACTGAGCTACATCTCCTCACTGTCCGTGTCTACTTCACAGTTAAATTCTTTCTCTTCTCTGAGCTTATTCCCCCCAACCCCCACTTTTTTTTTATTATGACTTTTCCTCTTTTAGCTACTCTGTTGGTGTGACAGAAATGCCTATCATTAGGCAATGAGCGTTTTACTTACCAGTCAAATCACATCTTTAGCTTTAGGATCATAGAACTTGTGGGGCTGAAAAGGATCTTGAAATCATTTAGTCCTGCTTTTTTTCAGAAAACACTGAGTTCCTTTGGTCTATTTTGGTCATTACTGTGAACTTGGAGGCTTTTTAAATTACTCTGGAAAATAAAGTATGTTCCGTACAGAACAATGCCTCTCAAAGTATGGTCCACATACCACGAACTGTCTGTTAATGTAATGACAAGATAAGTACAAAAACAGAGAGTAAACATTTAGAGACTTATAGTGCCTAAACCCCTAGCTCAGAAAGGTTGAAGGAACTTTTTATAATTCTTTTTAATCAGGAAGCCTAAAAGTTCAGAAGAACCTTAAACTTTTTGGTAGCTAGCCCTATCCATAAGTGTTTGAATATATCATGGCAGTTTTTGTATGTTACCTTCTTGGTTAAGAAAAGGAAAGGGGCCTGACCTGGTGGCTCATGCCTCCCAGCACTTTGGGAGGCCGAGGTGGGAGGATCACTTGAGCCCAGGAGTTTGAGACCAGCCTAGGCAACATGGCAAAACCCTGTCTCTACCAAAATACAAAAATTAGCTGGGCATGGTGGTGCACGCCTGTAGTCCCAGCTACTTGGGAGGCTGAGGTGGATGGATGGTTTGAGCCTGGGAAATGGAGGTTGCAGTGAGCCAAGATCATGCCACTGCACTCCACCCTGGGTGACAGCCCAACCCTGTCTTTCTAAAAACAAAAAACAAAAAAACAAACAAACAAAAAACACACACCAGAAAGAGAGTGAGACGGAAAAGATCTAATGAGAAGTTACTGGGGATTTTTCAGCTTTCTTTTGTCATTAGTTTTTAGAACATATATAGCTGTAATTATTTAGTGTTCATTCCCATTTTGATGCAATTTATGCCATTTACAATATCCCCTTTATTTTTAGCAATCATTTGATATTTTTTGGATTAGAGTATCACTGTACTGATTTTTTAATCAAATCGAATTGTAGTTGAGCTTATCTATGACACAGTAAATATAGACCTTCAAAGGCTATTAGCTTCATATGGTGCTTATACGTTTGAGGGACATATTTTTTATACTATTCAGGGTCATGAAATTGCCACTCTCAATTTAAGGATAAAGGAAGGTCAGTGACTGAGCCAAGTGACTCTCCCCAGTTATCACCCCGCTAGAAATTCTGTTTATAATCCAAGAGTCCTTAGAAATAAGATCCCTTTGACTTACTAGATTTCATTTTGGCAAATTAAAAAAAAATTATTTGAGTATTAAGAAAGGTGAAGGGATTGCTTTTTGCTTCCTAATACTGTTCGCATCTGTGATATCATCCACACAATGTGATTGAATAAATCTTTATATAATGAAATAGAATGGCACATTTTATTTTATTTTTATTTTTATTTTTATTGTTTTTTTGAGACAGAGTCTCGCTGTCTCCCAGGCTGGAGTGCAGTGGTGCGACCTCCGCTCACTGCAACCTCCGCCTCCCGGGCTCAAGCGATTCTCCTGCCTCAGCCTCCCAAGCAGCTGGGATCACAGGCATGCATGTGCCACCACGCCCAGCTAATTTTTGTATTTTTAGTAGACATGGGGTTTCTCCATGTTGGTCAGGCTGGTCTCGAACTCCCGACCTCAGGTGATCTGTCCACTTCGGCCTCCCAAAGTGCTGGGATTACTGGTGTGAGCCACCGTGCCTGGCCTTTATTTTTATTTTTGAGACGGAGTCTCTTGCTCGGTCGCCCAGGCTGGAGTGCAGTGGCGCGGTATCAGCCTACTGCAACCTCCGCCTTCCGGGTTCAAGCCATTCTCCTGCCTCAGCCTCCCGAGTAGCTGGGATTACAGGTGTCGGCCACCGTGCCTGGCCCACAATTTTTTTTTTTTTTTTTTTTTGAATCCCATTTGGCGCCCGGCGCGGTGGCTCACACCTGTTATCCCAGCACTCTGAGAGGCCAAGGCGGGCCTGAAGTCAGGAGTTCTGAGACCAGCCTGGCCAACATGGCGAAACCCTGTCTCTACTAAAAAACACAAAAATTAGCTGGGCCTGGTGGCACGCACCTGAATTCCAGCTACTCTGGAGGCTGAGGCAGGAGAATGGCTTGAACCCGGGAGGCGGAGGTTGCAGTGAGCCGAGATAGCGCCACTGCACTCCAGCCTGGGTGACCCAGCAAGACTCCATCTCAAAAAAAAAAAAATTAAAATCCCATTTGGCAAACCCTTAACCTTATGCTTATTTAAATATAGCATAGAATAAATATTTGACCTGTAGGGCAGCGCTCATCTTTGTTTTGAGTCTAGTTTTTATTTGTACAAAGGCTCAAATTCTTAATATTTATGATGATTTGAAATTGAACTAGGATTGGAATAACCAGCATAGACCATGGTTGAGAATATAATTTTTTGGTGGTGACCCAAAATAATTTGAGATTTGAAGTGTTGCTGTGTGTATGTGTGTTTGTGCGTGCGTGTGTGTGTGTGTGTTGTTGTTTTGTTTTGTTGAGACAGTCTGCTCTGTTGCCCAAGCTGGTGTGCAATGGCGCAATCTTGGCCCACTGCAATGTCTGCCTCCTGGGCTCATGCAATCCTCCTCCCTCAGCCTCTCAAGCAGCTGGGACTACAGGTGTGTACAACCACACCCAGCTAATTTTATATCTTCTGTAGAGACGAGGTTTCACCATGTTTGCTCAGACTAGTCTCAAACTACTGGCTGCTCCTTGGTTTTAATAGAAGCATTATGAATAACATACCCAGGTTTTTCCCTCTTTCTGTCTCTTTTAGGAGGCAGGGTGAAGAATTTCAAACCAATGGATTAAAAAAAGACACTATTGGGTGATAGGTCACACCTGTAATCCCAGCACTTTGGGAGCCCTAGGCAGGAGGATGCTTGAGCCTAGGAGGTCAAGACCAGTCTTGGCAACATGGCGAGATCCTGCTTTTACAAAAAATTAAAAAATTAGCTGGTCACGGTAGTACGTGCCTACTCAAGAGGCTGAGGTGGGAGGATTGCTTGAGCCTGGTAGGTCGTGGCTGCGGTGAGCTGTGTTCACGCCACTGCACTCCAGCCTAGACAACAGAGCGAGACCCTATCTCAAAAAAAATCAAAATAAAAAATAAAAATCTATTATTATTATTATTCTTAGAGGTAGGTTCTTGCTGTGTTACCCAGACTGGCTTTGAACTCCTGGGCTCAAGTGACTGTCCTACATCTGCCTCCTGAGTAGCTGGGCAACAGGCATGCACCACTGTGCTGGCTAAAAACCACTATTATTAATCCTGTCGAGCACATATTCCATTTTGGCAAATGTTAACTGATGAGATTAAAATTACCCTTCACATTAATAAAGTTCTATTTCTATAATATTTTCAGCAAGCAAGTGGATTCTATGAGGACAGGAAATGATTCTTCTAGCCTAACTTTTTAAAGCTGAAGTTTAGAACTTATTTTGGGTTTTTCTTTGATGCATGAAAGGATCTGGTTGTAGTTTCCCACCACACCCAGCTAATTTTGTATTTTTAGTAGAGATGGGGTTTTACCATATTGGCCAGACTGGTATCGAACTCCTGACCTTGTGATCCACCCTCCTTGTTCTCCCAAAGTCTGGGATTACAGGCATGAGCCACCACACCCCGCCTGTAGTTTCTTAAAATGACTCATCTCTATTCAACCAGTCATTGTTGAAACTCAGGAAAGAGCCACATTTTACAAAATATAAAAGACAATACGAAGCTGACTTTTTTTAGTAATATATGTTCTTCTATAAGAGAAATGACAAAAACAAAATAGTCTGTACATGGGTTAATAATTTTAGAGCCTTTTCTCTCAGTAGCATGTTTAGAATTTAGGGAAATAAGACAGGTTTGATAAAATATCCATTAGCCTAGAAAGATACTTAGAAAGAATCCCTCACCTGTTCTTTAAGTTGCCCCTTGATTGTAATGAAGCCATGTGCTCATTCTTGGAACGCAGAGCTGTCAAGAAACATCATCAGACATAGTTTTAACCTGGTAATGGTGGCTGCCAGTCAGGTGGCTGTCAGTCAGCTCCTTGGTTCTTATGAAATTCTTCTGCTGGTTTCCATAGAGTTGATGTTCTGTTTTGGTCTGGGGTAAAGCAAGGACTTAGTCTTTGTTATGGATGTTTGCTAACAGGAAATCAATGATGCTTCTAGCCTTTTGGCAACTGACTTATAGGAATTCTGAAGTTTTCTTCATTACAGACAAGGTCTCATCACAAGCCAGAATGATGGTTGTCTTATTTTAAAACACTTATGTTGGGCTGGTTGTGGTGTCTCATGCCTGCAACCCCAGCACTTTGGGAGGCTGAGGCAAGAGCATAACTTGAGCCCTGGAGTTCGAGACCAGCCCTGGCAACATAGCGAGACTCTGTCTCTACAAAAAATCAAAAAACTAGCTGGGCATTTTGGCATATACATGTGGTCTTAGCTACTTGGGAGGCTGAGGTGGGAGGATTGCTTGAGCCCAGGAGGTTGAGGCTGCAGTGAGCTGTGATGGCACCACCGTACTTCAGCCTGGGCAACACAGCAAGACCTTGTCTCAAAAAAGAAGGGAAAAAAATGATGTCTTTGGGAGGCTGAGGTGGGCAGATCACCTGAGGTCAGGAGTTCGAGACCAGCCTGGCCAACATGGTAAAACCCTGTCTCTACTAAAAATATAAAAATTAGCTGGGCGTAGTGGCAGGCACCTGTAATCCCAGCTACCCGGGAGGCTGAGGCAGGAGAATCGCTTGAGCCCAGGAGGCGGAGGTTGCAATGAGCCGAGATTGTGCTGCAGCACTCCAGCCTGGGCAACAAGAGCAAGACTCTGTCTCAAAAAAAAAAAAAAAAAGATGCTCCATCCACAGATATTCTAAGGTAACCAGACTGGGATGAGACCAACTCATTAGTCTCGTTTAAAAGCTCTCAAAGCAATTCTAATATTCAGCCAGGGTTGAGAACAGCTACCCTAACTCATATTCTTCTGATGTCCCCTCCTCGCCACCATAGGTATTTTCTTCATCTAATTGAAACGTTCTTATGTGCAAGAGCATACCCTGTCTCAAAAAAATTTAAAAAATTAAAAAGCAAAAGCTTCTTAATAGGAAAAGTTATTAGTTTCCCTATAACTGCATATGCATTTATATGAGAGCTCCTCAGCCTTCTCACTACCCATAGTGTGGTAGTTTTGCTGAATATCTGTTAAATTGAATGAAAACACCAAAATAGGAAAGTGAAGGGAAATGGTAGGCCATATTCATTCTGTCTTTGTTTTAAAGATTAAGAAACTGAATAACAGAAAGATTAGTGACTGAGATGACTGAGATACTTTGGGTTAGAATTTTTGCCTTTTAAACATGCCGACAGTAATTTTATCTATTAGGCTATGTTACTACGTAGGTACTTATGCCATCCTTGGTAGTAAAATCTTTATGTCAGTCAGTGTAGCATAAAAAAAGTAAAAATAGTCATTTATGATCTTCCATGATTTATCTGTAGCTTTAATGCAAGAAGACAACTAAACACACTAAATTAACACCTTTCACTTTTACCCCTTGCCTAGAAATTTGTATTTATTAAAGCATGATATTTATTTAGCCACTATGAATAGTTTATAGACAGACCTGGAAATTTATAGATTTGTCTTTGTTGGAATACTTGCTTAAACAGACTTGTTTCCTAAACCACTGGCCTGGTTTTCTACTATTAAAAGATTATTTAAATTGGTTACCTAGAGAAGATCTCCATGCTGTTATGAGCCATATTTTGAGATAGGAGAAGGAAGCCCAGCCATACTCCCTTATCTGTGTCCTGGCAGATGCAAACCTGCCCTGCCCTGCACATTTGGTTAGAGATGATAGTGCCAAACCACCACTTCTGACGCGATCATGAGGCTGGTCTCCTTGTCTCCTTTGTGCACAGGGACTGCTCATCTTACAGTAAGCTTCTATTTGGAAGCAAGAGATTTGAATTCTTTGAAAACATTGATAAAGCAAGTCAGGAGGGGAGTGCAGGGACTGGCTATTTGATATACCTACACAGAAAGCTAGGTACAGATCTTCAGATCTGCAAGACATGGGAAATAAACCCTTACCCAAACCAAACATGTCTTCCTCTGTAGAATATGAAACGAGGTGGCCAGTGACCAAGCTGACCACACATTTTGAATGAAAGTGATGATGTATGCTGCCATTCACACTCCAGTAGATTTCTGACATGGAATTAAGCTCTTTTTTAGGGAGACTAATGGGCCCTTAATTTAAATTGAGCCATACTTGCATTTGGTTCTAATCTACTGAGCTAGCCACATTAGCCAAAGAGTTGACCTAGCCCTGTCACTGACACCAGTAACCAGGAGAACAAAGTGTAGTGAATTGTGTGGCCAAAAGTACTGGCACCATAAATCAGAGCAAGCTGTATGTGGAGAATGAACATTGAGGGTGTGTCTTGCTGGCAACCTTAAGCTTTTAAAATTGTATTATTTTTTCTTATGATGAAATAAAGTCTTACTCACTTGAGGGACACTATAAAGATATTTGATTCTTTGAAGATTAGAAAAATGAATTCATCCAAGAACACTAAAACTTGTTAGATAAAAATATACTGACAGATTGGGGAGGGCCTGTTTGACTTCATTGGCTTCATGTGTAGCGTTAGTACATATCCTTAATAAAGAAAAACAACATGGGTACTTTAAACCTCTCAGAAGCAGATTCTTGGGTAGAATACTTAAAAGCTTATGAGAACATGACGATGCTGCTCTAAAATCAATGAAGCCAAAGCAAGAGAAGTTATACAAAATAATATTATTTCTGATAACACATACTGTTTCCCCAGAAATGATTATTACCTCCTTTTAGCATATCATGAGAATGGCACGTTTATTTTGAGTTTAGAGTTCTAAGAAGACATTTGGTATCCAAATAAAAAGTATCGTATGGCTGGGTGTGGTGGCTCATGCCTGTAATTCCAGCACTTTGGGAGGCCAAGGCACGAGATGACTTGAGCCCAGGAGTTCAGCCTAGGCAACATGGCAAGAACCTGTCTCAACAATAAAATAAATTAATTAGCCAGGCATGGTGGTGCGCGCCTGTGGGACCAGCTACATGGGAGGCTGAGGCAGGAAAATCACTTGAGTCCAGGAGTTTGGGGCTGCAGTGAGCTGTGTTTGTGCCACTGCACTCCAACCTGGGCAACAGAATGAGGCCCTGTCTCAAAAAAAAGAAAAAGAAAAAGAAAAATATCATATTATTGATAGCCTTTCCAAAAAATATGAACATTTACAGAAATATAAAATTATTCAATGTGTTCCCAGTCTGTTTTATTTCTTTTCTAGAATTAAGTAGGCTCCTTAAATCAAACTAATTTTTCTCCTTTGCTTTCAGCCCTTGCCAAAAATAAAATCCTCCTACACCTGTTCACCCATTTTTACTCCATAACACTCCAGGCACTGTTTCCAGGAAAAGGTTGAAATTAAGAATAATGTATTTCCTGCTGACCACCATATTTGTACTGCCGTAGTTGCATTCTGTGCCAATTTTTTTTTTTGCCATCTGTTCTCAGCATGAGATTGAGATTCATATAACAAGAGGGAAGCAAAACTAGATGTTTTCATCTGACTTCTTCCCCAGGAGCATGCCTTATCTTTGCCAATTAGACTCTTCACTGGAAAGTAACTTGATAAGGAAATAACATGCAACAAAATTTTTAAATGTTGATTTGGCCGTATTTTCTTCTAGGTTTCTTTATGCATAATGTTTCTTTTCTTTTTCTTTCTTTTTTTTTTTTTTTTTTTTTTTGGAGCAAGAGTCTTGCTCTGTCGCCCAGGCTGGAGTGCAGTGGTGCGATCTCGGCTCACTCAACCTCTGCCTCCTGGGTTCAAGCGATTCTTCTGCCTCAGCCTCCCCAGTAGCTGGGACTATAGGCATGTGTTACCACACCCGGCTAAGTTTTTGTATTTTTAGTACAGATGGGGTTTCACCATATTGGCTAGGCTGGTCTCGAACTCCTGACCTCATGATCCACCCGCCTTGGCCTCCCAAACTGGGATTACAGGCGTGAGCCACCGCACCTGGCCTCTTTATGCATAATATTTCTAAAAGTAGTAAAAATATTTTATTTTTGTTTTGTAGCCTGTTTATTCACCTAATGTTATATTTTAAGTATTTTACCAGGATATCATATCCCTCCTCCTCATTCAAAGGCAATTTGTGTTTATTGTAAACAACTTGGAAAATAAAGATAACAAAAAAAGAAGATGAAAATCAACCATAATTCCTCTGTTAAGATTTTGAACCTGCTCCTCCTCTTCCTCTCTCTAGATATATAAATGCTTAGTATATATACATACATAGGTTTATATATAAAACCTATGCATGCACTTTTATTTATTTATATATTTTTTCATTTCTTGCTAATATACACTTTTTTTTCCCCAAAAGATAGGGGGTTTCACTTTGTTGCTCAAGCTAGCTAGACTGCGGTGGTGTGATCATAGCTCACTGCAACTTCGAATACCTGTGCTCAAGCAATCCCAAGGAGGTGGGACTATACGCACACACCACTGTGTCCAGCTCATCTTTTAATTTTTTTTTATAGAGACAGGGTCTAGCTATGTTGCTAGGCTGGTCTCAAATTCTTGGCCTCAAGCGATTCATCTGCCTCGACCTCTAAAGTGCTGGGATTACAGGCATGATCTCCCGGCCCACATTTTTTATAAAAATAGGATTATGCTCCACATAATATTTTAGTGAATATAAGTTTTAAGTTTTCCATCTATAGTTCTGTTTGATACAACATTCAGGAGCATTCTAAAACCTATTTCAAGGGCATAGTAGAGTCTGTTTGGTGAGGCTTATTTCTCTCAACTATAAAATTGATAGGTTTCTCACCTCTTGCTTTAGAGGTCGCTTATAAAAATAGAAAGATGCTAGGGTTACCCAGATAAAGTATATGCTCCTCCTAATGCATTCCCTTGTAGAACTACTCTTGTGTTAATCTAGTTTATTTCTTAATATCAACCATAACTTTTCTCTGTGCTGCAGCGATTTGATTAAATTTAAAAATTTTTTAAGTTTTTCCACCTGCAATTAGAATGCTTGGTCTTTAAAATGTTCAGATTATAAAAGTTCATGGTGTTCTGCTATTTTATGGTAGATCTCTATGGCCTATCCAGACTCAGAAGCGAACTATTTCTGCTCAAGACTGGGGCAAAGATAGAGGCAGAGCCCATGAGGTGACAGCCTGAAAAAGCTCAAGCATGGAATTCTGTATATTGTCCTGTTACACGTCATCCATATAAATGGAATGTGTGTACAGTTCATCTGGCAAGCAATTGGCATGAGAGCAAACACAGCTTGGGCTAACATACTGTCCTTATGTTCTAAATCAGCAGTTCTTACCACCTGCCATGGGGCCCCCATCTCCTTCTGCCCTGAGCATCTTGGCTTTAGGAAACCACAGAGTGTGATGTCTTTCTCAGCTATGTTGGAATAGAAGAAAGGTTGTGAATCATAGCTCCACTAGGGTTCTGACGTATGATATTTGCATATTGATGGTTAATATTAGGTAACTGAAGTGCAAGTAAATTCCTTAAGTTTCCCTGGCTTTGTATTTCAATTGCTAGGTTCTTCCCAATCCGGGAGTCTCTGTTTTCTTTTCTTTCTTTTTTGTGTTTTTGAGACAGGGTCTCTCTCTGACTCCCAGGCTGGAGTGCAGTGGTGCAATCTTGGCTCACTGCAACCACTGCCTCCCGGGTTGCAAGCGATTCTTATGCCTCAGCTTCCCAAGTAGCTGGGATTACAAGCGTGCTCCATCACACCCGGCTAATTTTTGTATTTTTGTAGAGATGGGTTTTTGCCGTGTTGGCCAGGCTGGTCTTGAACTCCCGGCCTCAAGTGATCCACCCACCTCGGCCTCCGAAAGTCCTGGGATTACAGACATGAGCCACCATGCCTGGCTGAGTCTCCTTTTTCAAAGAGCCTGCTTGACAGACACCAACTCATTTATCATCAGATATTTTTTATTCAACATTTGCTCCTCCTTCCTGAAATATATAAATATATATTTTATATGATAAATGTATATATTTATGAAAAAAGAAACATGAAAAGTCGAGGCCAGAGGAATTGCAAACTGTAGTTAGAAGGCCAGATTCAACCCACAGATTTTGTTTGATGTGCAGAGGTTTTCAAAAATACTTTGAATACCTTTAGGAGGGACATGAATTCTCCAATTTGCCTTGGGCACCAACATTTCCAGTATATATGGATATATGAAATACTAATCCAAATAATTGATAATAATTGATAATTAAGAGCTAGGAAAGCTCTGATTTAGGAATGTGAAATTCTGTCTCCTTTTCTCGTATTTTAAAAAAGGAGAGCAATCAAATAGAGTGGTCACTCAACATATTGCCCTGCTCCTTTCCCCACCACTGAGTTCTGGCTGGGGAAAATATGACTCTCAGAGCAACTGTCGGGGCTGGAGAAATTCAAGAACTATGGCAGCCTCAACACAAAAATCTTTCCTGATTTATGTTATAAAGTGACAATTTCTCTCTCTCTCTGGAAAGCCAAGAGTAGCTTCAACTATAGATGGTCTAGGTTTTGTTTGTGCTTGTCTTGGAGTGCAGTATCTGGCATTTAAATAGCTCATCTTGCAATGAGAGCCAGTTTATATGTAGTAATAGGCTTCATCCTAAATAAAAAGTTTGAGTGGCAGTCGAGGGTGGGCAGAGTTTCTCAAGCTGCACCTGGTAAGAATTGCTGGTATGTACCAAAGTGATCTGAGGGGAGGGAAAGAAAAGGAAACAAAAGGAGAGAGAGAAAAGAATTTCTGGGATGCCTGTTAAACATGCAGATTCCCAGGATCTCTGGCAGAAGGCATAGGGGGAATATGATTTTTTCACCAGTGCTCAAGGTGATTCTTATCAGGTGTGTGTGAGAAACACAGGTAATGTGGTTCACAAAGTGGGCTCTGAGTTTAGAGACTGCCTTTTAATTCTAGTACACCAATTACAAGTGAGGTAACCTTGGCCAATGGGTTAACCTTCTAAACCCGCAGTTTTCTCACCTGTGAAATGGGGCAGTCGCACTCCTTAGCTACCTCATGCTGTGGTTTTCCAGGTTAAGGACTATAGCGAATGGAAGCTTCTTATTCCAGCACATCATAAACATTTGGTAAATGTTTCTCCTAACTACCAGACTTCCTGTGAGTTCTTGAGCCATAGCTCCAGAACATTCAGGAAAGATCCATGTTTGCTTTCTCTTCTTTCTTTCTTTATTTTGTTTTTGAGACGGAGTCTCGCTCTATCGCCCAGGCTGGAGTGCAGTGGCACGATCTCTGCTCACTGCAAGCTCTGCCTCCCGGGTTCACGCCATTCTCCTGCCTCAGCCTCCCGAGTAGCTGGGACTACAGGTGCCCGCCACCATGCCCGGCTAATTTTTTGTATTTTTAGTAGAGACGGGGTTTCACTGTGTTAGCCAGGATGGTCTTGATCTCCTGACCTCGTGAGCCACCGGCCTGGCCAGCTACTTCCTGTTCTTTCTAAAATAGCATCTTACAAAAGCCATACATACTCACCTGACAAAATTTGAAAAAGCAAAAGGAAGAAAAGATAAATTACTCGAACCTCATTATTTCATGAATTTACTTCCAGGCTCTGTAACAAATGCCATAATATAATTAATATATAGTTAATTTTCTCTTGTAAACTAATTTTCCTCTAATTGCTTATTCTGGTATTTACTTTTGTGTTTCTTATACTATTAAGGTTTGCTTGTTTGGTTGGTTGGTTTTGTTTGTTTTTGTAGACAGGAGTTAGAGTCTTGTTTATTGTTTTCATATCGTTTCATTGTCCTGGTTTTTTTCTTCTTTTTTCTTCTTCTGACCTTGTTCTTCCATCACACTTTTTTTTTTTCTTTTTTTGGTAGGGGATAGGGTCTTGCTCTGTCACCCAGGTTGGAGTGTGCAGCAGGGCCATCATGGCTTACTGCAGCCTCAACCTCCTAGGCTCAAGTAATCCTCTTGCCTCAGCCTCCTGAGTAGCTGGGACCACAGGTACATGCCATCACACCCTACTATTTTTGGCAATTTTTAAAAGATGGAGTCTTACTATACTAGTCAGGCTGGTCTTGAACTCCTGGGCTCATGTGATCCTCTTGCCTTGGCCTCCCAAAGTGCTGGGACAGGCATGCACCTCTGTACCCAGCCTGATCTTATCTTTTATCTTCTCTTCTCTCTTCTCTTCTCTTCTCTTTTCTTTTTTTGAGACGGAGTTTCATTCTCATTGCCCAGGCTGGAGTGCAATGGCGTGATCTCAGCTCACTGCAACCTGTATCTCCCAGGTTCAAGCAGTCCTCCTGCCTCAGCCTCCCAAATAGCTGGGATTACAGGCATGCGCCACCACGCCTGGCTTATTTTATATTTTTAATAGAGACGGGGTTTCACCATGTTGGTCAGGCTGGTCTTGAACTCCTGACCTCATGTGATCCACCTGCCTCAGGCTCCCAAAGTGCTGGGATTACAGGTGTGAGCTACCACATCTGGCCCTGATTTTTTTCTTAATCCAAACATTTTATATGTGATAGGAAAAACTCAAGACAGTCCAGAGACCTACTGCCATCTTCCCCCCAGTCTATCCTCTTCTGTATTCATACTTATGTGCCTCTGCCCTGTTGACCTTTTTGTGAGCTCTGAGTTAAGCTAGTTTTGGAGTTTGTATTTTGAACAGAAGTGTTGGATGGCTTGTTTAGTTTCTTATAGTGTGGCGGTTTACCAGGTCATGTTCTTTATGCATAACACTCATCTGAATTGTTACAGAAACCAGAGGACCAGTTATAACCCCCCTGCAGTTTTTGGTTTTCAGTTTTAGTGTTTTGCTAAAACAGGACATTCTAGGATATTTCTGTAGTTGTTGTTGATTTTTCTCCTTAAAGCCATTAAGGGTTGGAAATACTTGGAGTTAAAATTCTAAAAGTTGTCCCTTACAGTTTTAAATGAGTGGAAATCAAAATTTATTACTAAAAGTTGTTAAATGATCTACAGACTTGCCTTAGGAAGCCTTGTGGAGAGAGATTTAGGATTCACATTAAGCCCTATTCAAAACCCATTCCATTTTCCTCCCTGCCATAGTTGGCGTCCTCCAGGCAAGTTCATCTCAACTCTTAGCTTGTTCAGTCACAAAACCTGAAGATGCTACCCATCGGAGCTATTCATACAGTATTGTCTTTTTAAAAACATCAATGTTGTTATATGCATATTTTTGCAACTTGTTTTTTTCACTCAATATCTGGCCTCAGCTTTATTCACATGTATATCACTCAGCCTCTTTATTTTTTAACTTCCTCACAGGTGATTTAGCCCTTCTCCTGTTGGTAAATATTTTAGGTTGATTTCACTTTTTTTTTTCCCAAGAGATGGGGTCTCTCTGTCTGTTGCCCAGGCTGCAGTATAGTGGCGTGATCATAGCTCACTGGAGCCTTGAACTCCTGGCCTCAAGAAATCCTCCCACTTCAGCCTTTCATGTAGCTAAGACTACAGGCTTGTACCATCATGCCCAGCTAATTTTAATTTTTTTTTGTAGAGGTGAGGTCTTGCCGTGTTGCCCAGGCTAGTCTCAAATTCCTCACCTCAAGTGATCCTCCCTCCCTGGTCTCCCCAAGTGCTGGGATTACAGACCTGAGCCACCATGCACAGCCTCAGTTTTTTCTCTAATACAAACAGTGTTCAATATTTTTGTACCTTCAAATGTTTTTTAATCCTTGCAGTGCATATTACTGCTTTGTACATCAGAAGCCATGTCATACATAAAGCTTGTTGAATTGCATTTGGAACCTGCTGTTTAATTAATTTATTTAGAAATAGTGTTCAAAGAAATAGAATGTCAAATAATTTGAAGGATAGTTTTGAAAGAATGCTACCTATGTGCTGTGGGACATCAAGGATGCAGGTTAAACCTTTTACAACATATTTATGTAACAAAAATATGTTTAAGCCTAAGTGGTTGTACATTTATTTTCTGTTATATTTGGTACAGCAGATTTCCAGTGTAATAAAAAAAGATTTGACATGTCTTTGGAGGTGATTTTGCTGTAGCTTTAGGAGTTTTTGTGAAATTCTAAAATTGTACAGTTATATGATTTTGAACATAAAAGAAGGAAACTTGTTTCATTTTACTAGTAACCTCTGAGTGTTACAGAGTGTTGTAAATTACATGTGCATCAGTGTAATAAATTACAGTGTTTTTGAAGGAACTTTCTAAGAAGTAAAATTTTTTGGTTGTGATTTATGCTTCATTTTAACTGTTACATTGCTTACTAGGGAAAGGATTTCTTTGGTGAAAAAGCATATTGGAAAGAGAAGTTGAACTTTAGATGTCTTGTGACATCACAGAAGATAGGTATGACATGGCATAATTTGGCATACGTGGTTTTGGCAGCAAAAATTTAATCAGATCTCACAGAGGCAACTTCTTGCTTAAAATCCATTTTGCACTAGAGTTTTTTTCAGTGTTCTAGAATATTTTCGTGTATTCATCCTGTAATTACTTCTAGGCAAAACTGTAACTCAGATGCGATAGTAAAAGCAGCATTAAGATCAGGCAATTTTATATATTTTACTTCAATAATTGAAACAATTCTTAGAAGTTTGAAGTTATAGGTTCCAAAGAAAGGTCATAAAAACTAGATTACATTTCTTATTGTTTTTTGTTTGTTTGTTTGTTTTTAAATAGACAGGGTCTTACTCTGTCACCCAGGCTGGAGTGCAGTGGTACGGTCATTGCTCACTGCAGCCTCAAACTCTTAGGCTCAAGCGATCCTCCCACCTCAGCCTCCTGAGCCTGTAGGACTACAGGCATGCACTATCACAACTGGCTAATTTTTAATTTTTTTGTTGAAAACAGGGTCTTCCTGTGTTGATCGGGCTGGTTTTGAACTCCCAGGCTCAAGCAATCCTCTTGCCTTGGCCTCCCAAGGTGTTAGGATTACAGGTGTGAGCCACCATGCCCGGCCTTTAGTGTTTTTCTGATCATGGGATAGGACCAATAGTTCAACAATAAATCCTTTTGTGAGAGATTTTATTGTACTTAATGTCAGATGGCAATAGTTAGCCTTCAACAATAAATCATTTCATATATCAAAAAGTGAAGCTATAGGTTATGAGCCAATTTAGGCTCTCTGAGGTCCAAATGAGAGGAAAATGGATGAGCAAACCTTTGGGGTCTAGAGTCATATTATTTTGGGTGAGCAATGTTTGTCATATATTAGCTTCACCAGAAAATTTTGCCTTTGGATATAAATCCATTTCAACCAAGAATTTCTGGATTTGTCCCTGGTCTGCTAAGATGGGAGTTGAATGACTATCTAAGTACTATCTCATATGGTTAAGCTTTGTTTTATCTTCTTTTTAGTGGTTTATCCTTAGATTGCTTGCTCCCTGCCCCCAACACATATTAAGTCTTAGCTGGGAAAGGTACATTTAATTTTAGCTAGTCGGTTAGTTTTTCTGAACATTTGTTCTTTGCAGACTGAGGGAGACAGATGGATTTGAATTCTAAAGTGGAGTCTTTTGATGTAGCAGAAGAAATAACCCGTAAAGCGATAGACGAGGTTTCCAGGGAGTTTTAATTAGTCAGGCACAGCTGTGAGCAGGAATTGACAGGAAGGGCAAGATTCAGTGGCATAAAATAGGTAACCTTTCTTATGTTTCTTAGAGGGACTTAGTGGTCAGCCATAGTTATTGGGAATTTTTATTGAGTAGTCACTGGGTGCATATTCACATTCAGCCAAACAGTTACAAACCACAGGTTTAGAGGCACAGGTTAATGCCTCTGATCTTAAAAAAGGTGAAGGGTCAGAAGTCTCAAACAGAAGTGCTGACCTGGGAGTGCATTTGGAAGTGGTGCCTTATTGTGTCTGTTGCTCCTTCTGTAGCTTGTTTGTCTTGTTTGGGGGAGCATGTATGTTCCCTAGCAGGTGGCATTTTTAATGTATGTGCACTGACAGGTAGCATTTTTAATCTGCTGCTCATTCAGTAAATATTTGTCTAGCATCTATTATGTGCCAAGTTCTCTGGCACTTGTGATACATTGGTGAGCAAAACAGACAAAGCTATAAGCTATACTGACAAGAGTTTAGAGTTAATTCGAAAAAGATTTTTAAAAATAATATTAGTAAATGTTATTGAGTGCTTACCTTGTGCCAGGTATTGTGTTTTGTGCCTCATTTCAGGAGAAACTATTCAAGACACATTGAGGTTTGAATGCAGAAGGTATAAAGATGAATTAATGTAAATCCCCACCCTTGAGCATGCAGTCTATCAGCATCCTTCTGGTACCTAATAATTATATATAAAATTTGTCAAATTCGGCACATGAATAGAATCGTTCCTATGCACAATTCTGAGGATTGATAAATTTTGCAAACAGGGGCTTTCTATATCTTTTATGAGAGATGGTATTGTTGTACTTAATGTCATATGGCAATAGTTAGCCTTACTGCACACACTCTATCAAGGGGTCACTATAGACCAGGCGTTCTCATCCTCAGTACTATTGACATTTTGAGCCAGATCATTCTTTGCTGTGGGGCTGTCCTGTGCATTGTAGGATGTAAGCAGCATCCCTGGTCTCTACCCACTAGATGCCAGTAGCTCGTCTATACTTGCGACAACCAAAAATATCTCTAGACCTTGCCAGATGCCACCTGGAAGACAGTTTCTCCCTCCTACCTCAATGGGAGAGCTCCTGGTCTAGGCTTTAGTCTCCCAGACAAGCAATAGCTCCTTCCAGAGGCAGAGCTGATTGCAGCATCATCCCAAGTGTAGCTTGTGCATCAGCTCACACTGTTTCTAAAAATGTGAAGCACTTGGGCTCATCACACCTTGCATTGGGAATACTTTCATTATACAGTGATAGAGCCACATCTCTAGAGAAACCATTTCGTGCTTATCAGCAGTGGGGATGGTGATCTTAGTCTGCTTTCCAGTACTGGAATAACAACCAATAGGAATTACAATTTTTTATTATTAATTATATCATATACAGATGTTCTTTGACTTATGATGAATTACATCCTGAAAAACCCATCATAAATTGAAAATACTGTAAGTTGAAAGTGAGTTTTCTTTTCTTTTTTTTTTTTTGAGTCTCACTCTGTCACCCAGGCTGGAGTGCAGTGGTGCAATCTTGGCTCACTGCAACCATTGCCTCCCGGGTTCAAACGATTCTCCTGCCTCAGCTTCCCAAGTAGCTGGGATTACAGGTGTGTACCACCATGACTGGCTAATTTTTGTATATTTTGTAGAGGCGGGGTTTCACCATGTTGGCCAGGCTGGTCTCGAACTCCTGACCTTAGGTAATCCACCTGCCTCAGCCTCCCAGAGTGCTGGGATTACAGGCATGAGCCACTGTGCCTGGCTGAAAGTGTGTTTTCAGTTTACATTTTCCACTTATGGTAGGTTTATCTAGATGTAAGCACATCGTAAGTCAGGGACTGTCTGTATTTAAAAGGTCTGAGTGGATGTGTATGTGCATGTTTGTGTATCTCTATCTTTTGAGTAGCCATTTTAAATACACACACAAACATACACACACACACACACCCCTTATTTTCCTGTGATCCTACCATCCAGTTAAGATATAGACCCTTACTAGTACCTTTAAAGCTCCTGGTCAGCTGTACAAGACCAACACTCCCTCTCTTCCACATAGGAAACTGCCCTTCTGAATTTTGTTTTTCTTTTGCTTTTATTATTTTATCATATTATGCATATAGCCCTAAACAATATAGGGCTTATTTTAGTTTTGTGTGTTTTAAGACTTTATTATATAAATGTAGTATGTCATGTGTATTTTTTTGTGACTTGCATTTTCTTGGACCCTGCATGTGTTACATGATTCTTGTGTGTTGATATGTGTCACTATACTTCATTTATTTTCACTGCTGCATAATTTTGGATTATATAACTATGACACAGTGTACCCATTCTCCTGTTGGTGGATATTTGGGTTGTTTCCACTTTTTGATATTATAAACAGTGTTGCTACGAATATTCTTGTTCGTGTCATGTGGTGTTCATGTGCAAGAATTTCTATAGGGAATTACCTAGGAGTGGATTGATGGATTGTAGGCTAGTCCCTGCAACCTGTAAATGTTATCCTATATGGTGATGTAGTTTGAATATATGTCCCTACCAAATCTCACGTTGAATTATAATCCCCAGTGTTGGGGGTTGGGCCTGATGGGAGGTGTTTGGGTCATAGGGGCGTATTCTTGGTGCTGTCCTCACTGGTGAGTGAGTTCTCAGAAGATCTGTTTCTTTAAAAGTATGTGGCACCTCCTCCTAACTCTCTCTTGCTCCCACTCTGCCATGTGAGAGATGCCTGCTCCTGCTTCACCTTCCTCCACAAGTAAAAGCTCCGTAAGGCCTCCCCAGAAGCCAAGCAGATGCTGGCACCATGCTTTCTGTACAGCCTGCAGAACTGTGAGCCAGTTAAACTTCTTTTCTGTATAAATTACCGAGTCTCAGGTATGTCTTTTTTCTTTCTTTCTTTCTTTCTTTTTTTGAGATAGAGTCTCACTCTGTCACCCAGGCTGGAGTGTAGTGGTGTGATCTTGGCTCACTCCAACCTGCGCCTCCTGGGTTCAAGCGATTCTCTGCCTCAGCCTCCTGAGTAACTGTGACTACAGGCACGCACCACCATGTCTAGCTAATTTTTGTATTTTTAGTAGAGATGGGGTTTCACCATGTTGGCCAGGCTGGTCTCAAATTCCTGGCCTCCAGTGATCTGCCCACTTGAGCCTCGCAAAGTAGAACTACAGGCGTGAGCCACTGTGCCCGGCCTCAGGTATTTCTTTATACCAATGCAAGAATGGCCTAACACATATGGAGAAAGGGTCTTTGTAGATGTGGAATCATCAGTATTTAAATGGAATCATAAGTGTCTACATAAGACAGAGGCAGAGAGAGATTACACAAAGAAGAGATTAAAGTTATGTGGCCACAAGCCAGGGAATGCTGTTGGCCAACAGAAGCTGGAAGAAGCAAGAAACCGATTCTTTACTAGAGCCCCTGGAGGGAGTGCAGCCCTGCCGACACTTCGATTTCAGCCCAGTGATACCGATTTCAGACTTCTAGCCTCCAGAACTGTGAGAGAGTAAATATCTGTTGTTTTAAGCCACAAAATTCCTGGTGATTTGTTACAGTAGGCACAGGAAACTAATATAATGCATTTTCAGCATAATCGGATAATGCCACATTGATTTCCAAGGTTTTTGAACCAATTTCTATTTCTACCAGGAGTGTCAAAGAATTGCTCCACATTCTTTCAACATTTTTCCAGCAGGAGATTTTTACTAAGCAATTCTGTAAAACTAGTGCAAATTTTAAAAAATTTAGTTTGGAATGCAAAAACAAGAAATAATGGAGTACATTAATAAGAAAGTAAAACCGTTAATACTGTAGTGTTGAATACTATAGTAATGAAGTTGAGGGATTTGGTTAAGTTTATGCATGTGTTGTAGATAATGCATTATAACTATTATTTCACTTGCCTCATCCATCAACCAGTTAATATTTTCTGCACATATTCTTTCTTCTCTCTAGAAAATAATCCAGTGATTTGTTGGTACTCATTACGTGAATTGTCATACTCTTTTGTTTCTGTTTTGTTTACTTGTAGTTTTACTCTATGCCATCATACAAAATCTTTTTTGGCTAAACATAGATTGGTAAGAGTTTTTTTCTGTTTCTCTCTTTCTGATAACGCTAACCTTTCTGCTCAATTAGATAGTATATTTGTGCATATATTTTGAGGGAACAGATATTAGTTGTTAATCCCAGAAAATGTATTACCCCCTTGTCTCATCAAGTATATCATTTGATGATAAAAATATTGCTCATACTAACAGTAAGTGGACCTTAGAGGTGAATTGCATTTGACACTTAAAAGTTTTAAATGCATTTTCTCATTTGATTAATTTGTGTGCCTTAGAGGTAAGTCTTTTAAACAAATATATTTACTTCTGAGGAAACTGAATTAATATTAGTTGTTTATAAACAGTTTTGAGTCTCAAAGTTTCTATCTGCAAAACTAAGTGGTGAATTGAGGTGATTTAGCTAGGCCTGTTTTAAAACGCTGCTGATTTTAATAGCTTCCTAGCATTGGAAGAAAAAATTCTTGTGTGTCATTTACATTACAAGAACTATCATGAAAGGCTATCAGTTTCTTCTTGATCACAGCCAGTGATCATAATCATTCAATATACCCTATTTCATTTTTGACAAGCTTTTGTTAAAAAACTTATTATAACAAATTTGGAAAATTGTAAAAATACGTAAGAGTAGGTGAATCACATAATAAACCCTTATGTACCCATCAGCAAGTTCGACAATTATCAGCTCGTGGCTAATCTTATTTCATTTGTACTTCTACCTTCTTTTCTCTTTCCCATGTTATTCCCATATTACTTTGAAGTAAATCCATTACATGTTATCTTATCTATAAATATTTAAGTATATATCAAAAGATGAGTACTCCTTTTAAAACATAACCACAATCAATCATATCTTTTAAAATTAACAATAATTATTTAATATAATTAAATATATTGGCAGTATTCAAATTTCCAATTTTTATAATTGTGCGAATTTTTTTTTTTTTGAGACGGAGTCTTGCTCTGTTGCCCAGGTTGGAGTGCAGTGGAGCGATCTCGGCTCACTGCAAGCTCCGCCTCCCAGGTTCACGCCATTCTCCTGCCTCAGCCTCCTGAGTAGCTGGGACTACAGGTGCCTGCCACCATGCCCAGCTAATTTTTTGTATTTTTAGTAGAGACAGGGTTTCACCGTGTTAGCCAGAATGGTCTTGATCTCCCGACCTCATGATCCACCTGCCTCGGCCTCCCAAAGTGCTGAGATTACAGGCATGAGCCACCGCGCCCGGCCATGTTTTTTAAACTATAATTCTTTCCCGCCACACACAAACTTTCTGCCTTGCAGTTTATTTGTCGAAGAAAATTGGTTATTTGTCTTGTTTTCTGCAGTCTAGATTTTGCTTATTTCATCCTCATGATATAGTTTAATATATTTTTTCTTTGTTCACTATTTTCTGTAAATTCATATTTGGATCTCTAGACCGTGATTTGGTACCACTCAGGTTTGATTTTTTTTTTTCCCAAGACTTCTTCATGGGTGATGGTATATAACTTCATCAGTGCACACATAATGTCTGCTTGTCTCTTTTTGTGATGTTTGCAGCTGCTAAAGCTCACTGCCTAAATCTATTAAATCGGTAGAGATTGCAAAACAATGATTGTTTGTCTTTCACTTATTAACTAGAACACTTATTTATTTATTTTTATTTTTTATTTCCATAGGTTATTGGGGAACAGGTTGTGCTTGGTTCCATGAGTAAGTTCATTAGTGGTGATTTGTGAGGTTTTGGTGCACCCATCATCTGAGCAGTATACGCTGCACCCAATTTATAGTCTTTTGTTTTTGAGACAGAGTCTCACTCTGTCACCCAGACTGGAGAGCAGCGGTGTGATCTTGGCTCACTGCAACCTCCGCTTCCTGGGTTCAAGCGATTCTCCTGCCTCAGCCTCTCGAGTAGCTGGGACTACAGGCGCGCACCACTGTGCCCAGCTAATTTTTATATTTTTAGAGACAGGGTTTCACCATGTTGGCCAGGCTGGTCTCGAACTCCTGACCTCGTGATCTGCCCACCTCGGCCTCCCAAAGTGCTGGGATTACAGGCATGAGCCGCAATTTATAGTCTTTTATCCTTCACCCACTTCCCACCCTTTTCCCCCTGAGTCCCCAAACCCCATTGTGTCATTCTTAGGCCTTTGCATCCTCATAACTTAGCTCCCACTTACAAGTGAGAACATACGATGTTTGGTTTTCCATTCCTGAGTTACTTCACTTAGAGTAATAGTCTCCAGTCCCATCCAGGTTGCTGCAAATGCCATTAATTCATTCCTTTTTATGGCTGAGTAGTATTCCATTGTGTGTGTGTGTCTGTGTGTGTGTGTGTGTGTGTGTATCACAGTTTCTTTATCCACTTGTTGGTTGATGGGCATTTGGGTGGGTGGCACATTTTTGCAATTGCAAATTGTGCTGCTGTAAACATGCATGTGCAAGTATCTTTTTTGTATAATGACTTCTTTTCTTCTGGGTAGATATGCAGTAGTGGGATTGGTGGATCAAATGGTAATTCTACTTTTAGTTCTTTAAGGAATCTCCACACTGTTTTCCATAGTGGTTGTACTAGTTTACATTCCCACCAGCAATGCAGAAGTGTTCCTTGTTCACCACATCCATGCCAACGTGTATTATTTTTTAATTTTTTTGATTATGGCTTTTTTTTTTTTTTTTGAGATAGAGTTTCACTCTTGTCACCCAGGCTGGACTGCAATGGCAGGATCTCTCCTCACTGCAACCTCTCCCTCCCAGGTTCAAGCAATTCTCCTGCCTCAGCCTCTCGAGTAGCTGGAATTACAGGCACTCACCACACCATGCCGGCTATTTTTTTTTTTTTTTTTTTTTTTGTATTTTTAGTAGAGACAGGGGTTACTGTGTTGACCAGGCTGGTCTCGAACTCCTGACCTCGTGATCTGCCCGCCTCGGCCTCCCAAAGTGCTGGGATTACAGGCGTGAGCCACCGTGCCTGGCCGATTATGGCCATTCTTGCAGGAGTAAGGTGGTATGACATTGTGGTTTTGATTTGCATTTCCCTGATCATTAGTGATGTTGAGCATTTTTTCATATGTTTGTTGGCCATTTGTATATCTTCTTTTGAGAATTGTCTATTCATGTCCTTAGGCCACTTTTTGATGGGATTGTTTTTTTTTTCTTGCTAATTTGTTTGAGTTCACTGTAGATTATGGATATTAGTCCTTTGTCAGATGTATAGATTGTGAAGATTTTCTCCCACTTTATTTATTTATTTATTTATTTATTTATTTATTTATTTATTTAAGAGGGAGTCTGGCTCTGTCGCCCAGGCTGGAGTGCAGTGGCATGATCTCGGCCCACTGCAACCTCCACCTCCAGGATTCAAGCGATTCTCCTGCCTCAGCCTCCCAAGTGGCTGGGACTACAGCACGCACCACCACACCCAGCTAATTTTTGTGTTTTTTAGTAGAGATGGGGTTTCACCATATTGGCCAGGCTGGTATTGAACTCTTGACCTCAGGTGATCCACCCACCTTGGGGTCCCAAACTGCTGGGATTACAGACATGAGCCACCGCACCTGGCCCCACTTACTTAAAGTGAAGTTTTCTCTCATCAGCCATTTGCTTACCTAGGTGTAGAATACATATGAGAAATCAGGATAAATGTTTGCATTTCTCCTTATATTAAGCAATTTTCAAAATAATGAATTGGTTTGCCAACATCCTCTAGTGATAATTTTCCTTTTTGTAAGAGTATGAACTTGTGGACTTAAACATTTGATGTTTTTCTATCCCTTGCATTATTGTGCTTTTTTTGTTTGTTTGTTTAATAGATACAGGGATTTTGCTCTGTTGCCCCGGTCTTGAACTCGTGGGCTCAAGCAGTCCTCCCTCCTTGGCCTCCCAAAGTGCTGGAATTACAGGCATGAGCCACCATGTCTGGCCTCTATTGTCCATACTAATCTGGCAATATCATTGTTTCTCAAAATGGATAATTTTTTTTCTAAAGAAGATATACAAATGGCCAATAAGCCCATTAAAAGATGTGATGCTCAACGTCATTACCCATTAGAGAAATGCAAGTTAAAACTACATGAACATACCACTTCACACCCACTAGGATGACTATAATCAGAAATACATAATAACAAGTGGCACCAAAGATGTGGAGAAATTAAAATCCTCATGTGTTGCTAGTGGGAATGTAAAATGGTGCAGCCATCTAGGAAAACAGTCTAGCATTTCCTCTAGATGGTAAACATAGAGTTAACATGTGACTCGGCTGTTCCATTTTTAGATATTTACACAAGGGGGATGGAAACATGTCTGTATAACCTGTGCATGAATGTTCATAGCAGCATTATTCGTAATAGCCGAAAATGAAAACAATTAAAATGTCCATCAACTGATGAATAGATAAATAAAATGTGGTCTAGCTATACAAAGGAATTTTATTCAGCAATAAAAGGAATGAAATATTGACACATGTTAAAATATGGATGACCCTTGAAAACAGTATACTGAGAGAAAGAGACCAATTACAAAAGACCTCACATAATATGATTCCATTTATATGAAATGTAAAGAATAGGCAAATCTATAAATATAGAAAATAGAATAGTGGTTGCCAAGGGCTGGGAGATTTGGGGAAAATGGAGAGTGACTGCTAATGGGTTCAGGATTTTTGTTTTTTTTTTTTGCAGTAGGGTGGGGGTGTGTGATGAAAATGTTCTGAAATGTGAATGTATTATACTAAAGGCCATTGAATTATATTTTAGGTGGATGAATTTTATGGTACGTGAATTATGTTACAACAAATCTTTAATAAAGATTATATTATTTTTTATAAAAGGAGTCCGTAAAGTCACCCAAGGAGCTTGCTTAAATGCAGATTCCAGGGCAATATCCTAGACCTCTGGAAAAATCTTTAGAAATGGATTCCAGGAATCTTTTTTTTTTTTTTTTTTTTTGAGACAGAGTCTTAATCTGTCACCCAGGCTGGAGTGCAGTGGCACAATCTTGGCTCACTGCAACCTCCACCTCCTGGGTTCAAGCGATCAATTATCCTGCCTCACCCTCCCCAGTAGCTGGGATTACAGGCTCATACCACCAGGACCGGCTAATTTTTGTATTTTTAGTAGAGATGGGGTTTCACCATGTTGGTTGGCCAGGCTGGTCTCAAACTCCCGACCTTAGGTGATCCACCTGCCTCAGCCCCTGAAAGTGCTGGGATTATAGGTGTGAGCCACCGCGCCCTGCCCCAGGAATCTTTATATAAAGTGAGCACATCCAGGGATTTTGATGCACACTGTTTGAGTGACATATTATCAAAGTTCTTTATTATGCTTTGTGCATACCAGTAACTTCCTATTTCTGCTTGTGGTATAATAGAGAATAGGTCTTCCTCTTCCACATGACAGCCCTTCAGTCTTAGGAAGACAGCTCCCCCTTCCCACCCGTCTCTTCTGTAGGCCACGCATCCCCAGTTCCTTAACCATTTTTCATGTGACATGATTTCCAGATTAGTCAAATCATCTTCTTCTGGACACACTCTAGTCTCTTAATGGCTTCTTAAAATGAGGTACTTGGAACTGAACAGGATATTCCAGTTATAGTTTGACCATTGCAGAATATAAATGGGATTATTACCTCCCTTGTCCCTGACACTGGAATTCTACTGATGCATTCTAAGATTGCATTAGCTTTTGAAAACAGTGTTGGCTCAAGTGAAGCTTGTGTTTAACTCAAACCTCGCTTATGCCACCCCTGACTCTCCCAGCTTTTATCTAGTCAGGTCTTTGTTGTATGACCATCAGGAAAAATTCCCTTTCTTGTTGGTGATCTGGTCTATACATGGAAAGAGTATCTTTAATGTCATAACAATTATTTAGCAATTTCAACTTTTTCAGAGCATTGACTGTACATGATCTCCTTAGATTTTAACAACTGTGTAAAATGAAGGGAGGTGCTACCCTCGTTTTATAGATGCGGAAATACAGACTGAGAGACCTGAAGTAAAATGCCTAAGGGGAGGGAGAGTTATTTGCAGAGGCTGGCATAGAACCTAGTTCCCCCAACTCAGTGGTTTGAAATCTTGGCTGCACATTGGATTCACCTGTGGGCTTTAAAAACTGATGCTGGACAAGGTGTGGTGGCTCATGCCTGTAATCCCAGCACTTTGGGAGGCCGAGGCAGGAGGATCACCTGAGGTCAGGAGTTCAAGACCATCCTGGCCAACATGGTGAAACCCTGTCTTTACTAAAAATGCAAAAAATAGCTGGGCGTGGTGGCACGTGCCTGTAGTCCCAGCTACTAGGGAGATTGAGGCATGAGAATCACTTGAATCCGGGAGGCGGCAGTTGCATGAGTCGAGATCATGCCAGTGCACTCCAGCCTGGGTGATACAGCGAGACTCCATCTCAAAAAAAACAAAACAAACCAAAACACACCAGAACAAAAAAACCGATGCCTAGGCCCCATCCTCACATATTCTGAGGTAACCAGACCGGGGCGGGACCAACTCACTACTCTTGTTTAAAAGCTGTCAAAACAATTCTAATATTCAGGATTGAGAACAGCTGCCCTAAATCATATTCTGATGTCCCCTCCCCCTCACCACATGTATTTTCTTCATCTAATTAAAAGGTTCTTATGTGGAAGAGAGAGGATTATTTTCCATCATTCCAGAAGGCAAAAGTAAAATTAGTCCAAGTGGGAGAGGATTACTCAGATGTACAGTGGAAACCAGGTGTAAGCCCTAAGAGGATTATTCTTGGAATTTATTTATCTTCTCATTCATTAATTTATCAAACATTTATGTGCCAGACACTGTGCTCAGCTCTGGGGACACAAACATGAGTATGACATGGTCTCCCCCTTTTGGGGCTCACAGTTGAAAGGGAAGACAAACTGTAAATAAATAACATCATAGTGGAGTGTGGTAACTGTTACACGTATCAGAGCTGTTCAGTTTCCTTTTTAAATTTGTTATAGTTTTGTATTAAAAATTGTCAATAGTGATTTTCTTACCATAATATATTTATGCCAAGCATTTGGTGAATATGTTGCACTATATTAGTCTTTAAGTATGTAATTCAAGCAACAGATAAAGTTAGTCTGCAGAAATTTTGTGGAAATATCTTCTTTCTCTAAATACTCCTAATAATAAAATGTACAATAGTATTCAAACCATTTTGAAGAGTTTAGTCCTATGTCTTCCTTTTTTTTTTTTTTTGAGACAAAGTATCACTCTGTTGCCCAGGCTGGAGTGCAGTGGTGCGATCTCAGCTCACTGCAACCTCCGCCTCCCAGGTTCAAGGGATTCTCCTGCCTCAGCGTCCCAAGTAGCTGGGATTACAGGCGCCCATCACCACGCCCGGCTAATTTTTGTATTTTTAATAGAGATGGGGTTTCACTGTGTTTGTCAGGCTGGTCTCGATCTCCTGACCTCAGGTGATCTGCCCACCTTGGCCTCCCAAAGTGCTGGTATTATAGGCGTGAGCCACTGCGCCCGGCTAGTCCTCCAAATTTTTGATTTTTAAAAAATATTTTTATTAAAAAAAGTAGAGATGGGGTCTCACTATGTTGCCCAGATTTGTCTCAAACTCCTGGGCTCAAGCAATCGATCCTACCTCTTAGGCCTTCCCAAGTATTGAGATTACAGACGTGAGCCACTGTACCCAACCTCCAAATTCTATTCTGTTAATTACTAAGCATAGGTATATGATCTGTATTTATTTTGTCAAGATTTGATGTTGATGAAAAAATGATTTTGTAACATGGAGAAAATTTTAGATATGGATTTGATGCCTCTGAGATACCATTTATTAAAAACAAATCAATAGGCCAAGTGTGGTGGCTCATGCCTGTAATTCCAGCACTTTGGGACGCCGAGGTGGGCGGATCTCTTCAGGCCAGGAATTCGAGACCAGCCTGGCCATCATGGCGAAACCCTGTCTCTACCAAAAATACAGAAATTAACCCAATGTTGTGGTGGACATCTGTAATCCCAGCTACTCGGGAGGCTGAGGCACGAGAATCATTTGAACCCAGGAGACGGAGGTTGCAATAAGCTGAGATTGCACCACTGCACTCCAGCCTGGGCAACAGAGCGAGACTCTGTTAAAAAAAAAAAAAAAAACAAAAAACCCAAAACAAATCAATACATTCTTATTAAAACAGCTAAAACACTTTTCCTTATAGTTTGTAGCTGACTTTCTGATAAGAAGTATGTATACAGTACTGTGAAAACTCAGAGAAACTGTTTTGGAAAGGGGAAGAGAAAGAGAGGAAATCAGAGTTTCTCAAAGTAGGTCTTGATGGAGCAGGGCTGAATTTTGAAAGGTAGGATTTACACTGAGTCGGGTAGGCATTCAGGCAACAAGAGCAGGGAGATGGAAAAATAGAACCCTGGTCAAAGGGACAGCACAAAAGATGAAAACTGGGCAGGGGCCACAACAAGATGGAACTTTCATGGTAAAAGAATTTGAACAGTAATTTCTTATGTATTGGAGTCCTCACAATTCTGACAATCCTGCTGTCACCAGCAGTTATATGAAGATCTGGGAAAGTCACCATATGCTGGAGAAAGTTTTGCAGGGCTTAGCCAAAACTAAAAAATCTAGCAAGAAGTCAGAGTCCATTCCAGTTTTGGCATCCAGTTAGAGGCTAAAACTCATGAATTAAAGTGTGGAAATTTAATATCCTCGTTCTCAGTTAGGTTTAAGACCCTTTTTACAAATAAGAGATGTTGAAAAGTGAGTTTGAATAAACACATATTTCCAAGTTGGATAAGGTCGTGCAGCTTCAGGGTCTAATTTAATTGATAAGTGATCCACCCTGGATTTGGGCTTTAGTAAGAGAGAATTCCACCCTCCCATCATGATGTACTTACTTGGCTCGCATGAGAGCTTTTCAAGTCTTTGTTGATTGCAACATGCAATTCAATTTGGCTATGATTGCTGTCTTCATTATGTGAAAAATGGTAGAAAAAAAATCTGTAGAAAGGTTTAAGCATCTATTCTAACATTTGAGAGGGTTTCAGTATTCTGCCTTTACTTAAAAGTTTTGTATTGGCAGGGCATACTGGCTCATGCCTGTAATCCCAGCACTTTGGGAGGCTGAGGCAGGAGGATCACTTGAACCCCAGGAGTTTGAGATCAGCCTAGACAACATGGTGAAACCCCACCTCTAAAAAATGTTTAAATTAGCTAGGCATAGTGGTGAATGCCTGTAGTCCCAGCTACCCAGGAGGCTGAGGTGGGAGGATCACTTGAGCCCAGGTGGTGGAGGTTGCAGTAAGCTGAGATTGCACCACTGCACTCCAGCCTGGATGACAGGGCAAGACCCTGTCTCAAAATAAATAAATAAATAAATAAATAAATAAATAAATAAATAAATAGTTTTACATTGAGGTTGCAAGTCTAGCCAGTCGATCTCCTTTGAAATAATCCAAGTATAAATTCCTTTTATGCTGACAGGTTCATATAATGAATTGAATTGGTTAATGTCCCATACCGGGGAGTATAGTAATATAATTCATCTGCTTAGAGCCCAAGTGACCCTGAGTTTTAAACATCATTTCCTTTTGGAAATTGAAAGGTTTTATTGTTCATTGATAGTTCCCAATATCTGCAGGGTCTTTCCCATTTACCATCCTGTCTTCCGTCCTAACCAGGAACATAATCAGCTCTACATTATTTGAAATTAACTGCTGCCAAAGTACAACAGATGGGACTAGTGAACTGATGTAAGGAAAGCATTTCCTGTGGTACTTGTGTCACCATTTGTTTGACTACCAGTTATTGAAAGATAGCGTTTGCGTGTGAAAAATTATCAGTGCTAGTTATGACTGCTTTTCTTTTTTTTGTCTTTGGAAACTCAGATGTTCTAAGCATTTCTTCTGTATGAACAATGTAACTTGTCATTAGTCTGTTGTTTTTGAAACAGAGAAAAAATAACATCCATGTTTCTATTTTCACAAACACTAATTTCAAAATTGAACAAGTGTGTTTTACAGACTCCTAATTAGAGGGCATATGCAATTTTTATACTGCTTTCTATTGTGGTTTTAATAATTTTTTATTTAATGATTTAATTTAATTTAATGTTTTATTTAATATAAATAAAAAATCATTAATATTTCATTTTGAGATGTTATAATTTAATTAAACACTTCCTTTTTTTCTCCTCCCCGAGATGGAGTTTTGCTCTGTCGCCCAGGCTGGAATGCAGTAGCACGATCTTGGCTTACTGCAACCTCCACCTCCCGGGTTCAAGCAGTTCTCCTGCCTCAGCCTTCTGAGTAGCTGGGATTACAGGCATGCGCCACCACACCCGGCTAATTTTTGTATTCTTAGTAGAGACGGGGTTTCACCAGGCTGGTCTCGAACTCTTGACCTCATGATCTGCCCACCTTGGCCTCCCAAAGTGCTGGGATTACAGGCGTGAGCCACCGCGCCTGGCCCAACACTTCCCTTTTATACATTGAGATTGCTTCTACCTTTCCCACTATAATAAACAATACTGCAATGAATATCTCTGTGTATTTCTTACTTCTAGAATATTGCTTTAGGACAAATTCCTAGAAATATAATTTCTATTTCTTTCAGAAATATGCTCAAATATATATTTGTATATATATTTGTATAGACAAGAGAGAAGATGATTTTAGCTTCTTACTTGACCCTTTTCAATAATTATCTCTCTGCTATTCTGAACAGCAAAGTAGATGGAAATCGATGTTTATCCTTACAGGATTATAGTAGTTTATGCTAATGATTAGTCTAGTTAATGTCCTTATATGTATATATAATATTCTCTACAACTTCAAAAGCGTCTATATGCCTATCCTCACTCCTACACTTACTTGAAATGCAGGTTGGCATTTCACATTTCACATCATGGCTGGCTGGTATCTGTTGTCCAGTATTTTCCCAGAAAAAAATGGAAATAAATTAGTAAATTGGCTAAAATGATCTGATTGATCATCTGTTTTTTTTGTTTTTGTTTTTGTTTTTGAGACAGGGTCTCACTCTGTCACTCAGGTTGGAATGCAGTGGTGCAATCATAGCTCACTGCAGCCTTGAACTCCTGGGCTTAAGCAATCCTCCTGCCTCAGCCTTTTAGGTAGCTGGGACTATAGGTGCATGCCACCACACCCAGCTAATTATTTTTTATTTTGTAGAGACTGTCTTGCCATGTTGCTCAGGCTGGTCTCAAACTCCTGGCCTCAAGATCACCTGAACCTCCCAAAGTGTTGGGATTACAGGCGTGAGCCATCACAGCTGGCCTGACCACTCTGTTCTTCTATCAGATATTGTAGTCTTGTTCAAAGCCAGATTTGGCCAGCAAAGAATATTTTACCCACATTCAATTAGACTTTCCAGAATGACTGTTTCCTTAGTTTAAAAACACTTATGTTGGCCAGGTGCGGTGGCTCATGCCTGCAATCCCATCACTTTGGGAGGCCGAGGCAGGAGGATTGCTTGAGCCCAGGAATTTGAGACTAGCCTGGGCAACATAGCGAGACCCTGTCTATACAAAAAATTAGCCGAGTGTGGTGGTGCAGGCCTGTGGTTCCAGCTACTTGAGAGGCTCAGGCTGCAGTGAGCCATGATCGTTCCACTGCACTCCAGCAGCCTGGGTGACAGAGCAAGGCTGCTGGAGTCAACCTGTCTCAAAAGAAAAAAAAAAAAACGGCAACAAAACACATATGTTATGTGTGATTAAAAAAAATACATGAAGGCTGTGAGTTACTTTGGCAGTCACTCCCTTAATTAGGGTAACGTTAGCATTATCACCAAAGTACAGTTAGTAACACTTCTGATTAAGGATGACAGGGATATTCCCTTTTCCTTAAATAGCTTTCCACTTTTTTAAAGAGAAAAATATTAATTTCTAATGACATTTTGGTCAAGAGCAGTGGTTTTATGTGAGGATCTGAGACAAATCATTTAATATTCATAAGTACCAGAATAGATATGCCATAGCTGACTTACAAAAACCCAAAGGTATGATGTCTTTTTATAAAATGATTTTAGGCCATGACCTTCAAACTTTAGAATTCTGAAAAAACAGTGGCATAGCAAACAGTTCTGAGTTTTCATAAGGGGCCCCTGAAATGGATAACGCTGAGTAGCCTAATGGATTTCTGAAAGCATAGTGTGCTTTAGATACTGCTAAATCAATAAACACAACAGTCATTTAAGTGTGTATGTTATATAATATTTGGTTAATTATATTATAACTCAAATTCTTTCAGTGCACTTGTCTTTTAAATTGAATGCTAAATATAACTGGAGTACTTGTAAAAATAGAATGGTCAGAAAAATGCAGAGTATATTATGTCATTTTTCTAAGCTATATTAAGTTAATATTTGGAGTTAGCAACAGATTTTGTCATACACATCATTTTATGTACCATGAAATGTCATATTTCAGAAGTACTCATGTTTAATAATAAAAATAAATAGCCCTGTTTTATGTTACTGAGTTGTTCATCATTTGAGTTCAATAAAAGACTATATTGAATTTTTTTAGTAGTTGCTTCATATAACATAAGTAGATGATTGGTGTACCATAAATAAAAATGTATGTTGAGTACATAGGTAGGTATTTTATATAAAAGAGTTGTTTTGGGTGGAAGAAATAACAATACTGAAAAGCTTTTTTAAAGTGCCAAAAACTTTATTATTTGTTTAGATGTTTATGACTGGGAAGATGATCAAAGTTAAAATTTTGCAGTTTTTCATATCATTGAAAAATATTTCAGTAATCTTTATTGATTGTAATAGTGGAGGCTGGTTACTGATTTTTGGGGGTAATAGCACTAAAAAACAAATGAAAATAGGCAGTATGACTTTCTTGAGTTTGATAACAGCTTCAAGGCAGGTGGTTGCCCTTGAAATGTGATCATTTTTTAAGGAACTTGAGTTATTTTATCTGCTGCCATCTGAAAAATAAAAAGGTAATGTGTGTTTGGTGAATCTAAATAAAAGGGTAGGGAAATACAGTTTTATATTACTTGATGGTGAAGGACATTTAATCAATCATTATTTGTTTGATGTGGTTGTATTAAAAACTAAGTAAGTAGCTGAGCGCAGTGGATCATGCCTATACTCTTAGCACTTTGGGAGGCTGAGGCAAGCAGATCGCTTGAGCTCTGGAGTTCAAGACTAGCCTGGGCAATGTAGGGAGACCCCCATCTCTACAAAAAATACAAAAAATTAGCTGCATAGTGGCACATGCCTCTAGTCCCAGCTACTCAGGAGGCTGAGGTGGGATGATTGACCACCTGAGCCTGGGAAGCTTGAGGCTCCAGTGAGCTAAGATTGCACCACTGTACTCCAGCCTGGGTGAGTGAGACCCCGTCAAAAAAAAAATAAAAAAAAGAAAGAAAGAGAGAGAGGAAAGAAAGAAAGAAAGAAAGAAAGAAAGAAAGAAAGAAAGAAAGAAAGAAAGAAAGGAAGGAAGGAAGGAAGGAAGGAAGGAAGGAAGGAAGGAAGGAAGGAAGGAAGGAAGGAAGGAAGGAAGGAAGGAAGGAAGAAAGAAAGAAAGAAAGAAGCACCTCAGTAAAAAATACCTCTAATTTTTATTTTTAATGATATTATTTTCAATATATCTTTACCCAGTGATATCTAGTTGAATACAACTATAGTCTGGTTGGAATTTTTTTCCTTTTATTTAATCTTTAAAGTTATACAGTCAAACTGGCCTTTTTTGGGAGGTGTGTAGTTCTATGAATTTTAACATGTTATTAATTCATGTAACCACCACCACAACTGGGAACAATTCCTTCAACCCCCCCAAAAAAACTCCCTCATACTATCCCTGTGTAGTCAGACCCTACCTCCCCTTACCCCTAAACCCCGGTAACCATTGATCTATTCTCCATTACCATAGTTTTTTTTTTTTCCCAGAATGTCACAGAAATGAAATCATACAGAACATAACCCTTGGAAATTGGCTTCTCTCAACAAAATGCCATTAGATTCCTTAAAGTAGTTGTGTTTATCAATAGTTTCTTTCTTTGCTAAGTTGTGGGTTGAAATTTTATGGCATCCTGATATTACATCAGATCTGATAAGCTGGCACTGAATTTTTTTAAAACTATGAATATTTTTCATATTAGTTAACTGAGATACTTATAGTTAATTTTTTGAATTGGAATTTGTTGTTTTGTTTTCACAGTATTTTCAGTTTTATTATAAAAGTACACACCCAATAAAGATTAAGTCATTTCTTAACTCTATCTGCATTCGACCCTTGCTCTTTTTATTTATTTTATTTTATTTATTTATTTTTAGAGACAAGGTCTCACTACTAGGCTGGTCTTGAACTCCTGGCCTCAAGTGATCCTCCCACCTCCTCCTCCCTAAGTGCTGGGATAACAGGCATGAGCCACCGCGCCCAGCCAACACTTGCTCTTGAGCAGCTTTCTTTGCTTTTACCATCTTGGCAAGTTCCTTGCATCTTTTCATGCAGCCTTTCTTTGTCCTGCCAGGTACTGGCAGTTTGTGCTGTTTTCTCTCATCTTTCAGGTGTGTTGACTGGGTGTGTTTTCAAAGCTTGTTCAAAAAGCTTCTGTTCGTTCTCCAAGGGGTGAAGTGGGTGCATGGACTGTAAAATCATTCTGAAGGTGTTTCATTGTCTGCTTGAGGCAATGTTCTTTTTAAAGTTTATCAAAAGCCTTTTTTGTTTGTCATCTTTTTGATGAGGGTCCAATTTTTGGAGGCTCTTTGCTTTGCCAGTAACACCTTTGGTGGTTGTCTTGACATCAGTAGAAGAATGTATGTTGATGTAATTAGCAATAACTTACCAACTTCCCATCTTGAATTCATACCAGCAGGGAAGAGATTCATAGCTTTAACTTGTAGCTGCAGATCATCTTCTTACCAGTTGTTGCTGCCATTTCCACCTCTGCCAGTTTATTTCTCTGCATTCTTAGATGCTTATTACATACGAGCCCCACCTTCCTGTTTCTCCTTCGTAATTTGTTCATTTATTTCTTCTGTTTTTCCAGAGCAGCCATTCCTACTTCTTTTGTAGATGATGTGTTTCATTCAACTACTGTAAGCTTTCTAGTTCAAGCTGATTACAAAGTTTTTCTACTTGCATCATTTCTTTTTTTTTTCTTTTTTGAGACAGGGTCTCCCCCTGTCACCCAGGCTGGAGTGCACTGGTGCCATCATAACTCACTGCAGCCTTGAACTCCTGGCCTCAGGCAGTCCTTCCACCTTGGCCTCCCAAAGTTATAGGATTACAGGCATGAGCCACCACACCTGGCCTTCTTCCATCATTTTAACCCACCCTGCCTCATTGTTGGAAAAGTGATTCCAGATCTTAGATGAGTTTCGAAGTTTTTGCCTTTCTTTCTTTTTCTTTCTTCTTTTTTTTTTTTTTTAGCAGACAAGGTCTTACTATGTTGCTTAGGCTGGAGTGCAGTGGCTATTCACAGGCACGATCATAGCCACTACAGCCTCGAACTCCTGGGTTCAAGCAGTCCTGCCTCAGCCTCCCAAGCAGCTGGAAGTATAGGCGTATGTCACCCACCTAGCTTACCATTTCTTTGTAATGTTTTTTTTTTTGGATGTCTTTTTCTTTCTTTGCCAGTAATACTTGTTGTCTAATTATAAGTTCTTTCTCCTTTGCTAATTGAGTAGCTTCTAATTCAGCTTATCTTTGTTTTTCTTTAGCTTCTTGCTTCTTTTGTTTTGGTTTTGTGTTGTTGTTTTTAAATTGTGAACTTTTTTTTTAGTTCAATTCAGTGATTTGCATATGTAGCTAAGCAAGGCAATTACAGCGTTTGCATTGTTTTGGAAATTCTTGTTATTTTATTGGGCTAAAATATTAATAACAAGTTTCTAAAGGCAAAATTTGAGATAAAAGAGTATTTTTCCAGTTTGTAAGGGAAATAAACTGCACTATGACCTTTCTTAATGTCAGTGCCAAAGACCTGGCAGAATTTTCTTTACTTTTGTCCCAGGCCTCTTCCCACCCTGACTTTCTGGTCTACTGTGAACCAGGCACCTCTATTGTCTGATAATCTGTTTCAGTGTGCTTGCTCCTAGAGTGCCCTCCTTTGTTGATTACAGTAGTCTGTTGGTTTTGATCTAGTCAAATTTATGTGCATAAACTCTTTGCATTGTAAATTTAGTTTGATTCTTGAGATTTAGTTTGATCTTGAGAGCTGGTTCCTTTCTTAGCTGATAGAAGATATAATGGTTTTATTATCCCCAGCTGCTGAAAATGGAGGCCTCCTGATAATTGAATGTTTTGGCAAGAAAACAATCTAATATGAATTGGATAAATCTCTACCATGTCACAAATTAAAATAATGGGTTAACACTATTAAGAATGGGGTATGCTGCCAGGCATAGTGGCTCAGGCCTGTAATCCCAGCACTTTGGGAGGCCGAGGTGGGCAGATCACCTGAGGTCAGGAGTTCAAGACCAGCCTGGCCAATGTGGCGAAACCTCGTCTCTACTAAAAATACAAAAATTAGCCGGGCATGGTGGCACACCCTTGTAATCCCAGCTATTAGGGAGGCTGAGGCAGAATTGCTTGAACCTGGGAGGTGGAGGTTGCAGTGAGCTGAGATCGGCCATTGCACTCCAGCCTGGGCAAGAGAGCAAGACTCCATCTCAAAAAAAAAGAATGGGGTATGCTTCACAACCAAAGAACCGTGAATAATCCATCATTTATTAAACATATATATATTAGGTTTTGAAGAACAGAGATAAAACTTGGTTCCATTTTTACTAGTACTCTATCTGGTAATAGGAGTTAGAAACTTTAACTTTTTTTTTTTAAGACAGAGTCTCACTCTGTCACCCAGGCTGGAGTTCAGTGGTGCGATCTCGGCTCACTGCAACCTCTACCTCCCGGGTTCGAGCAATTCTTCTGCCTCAGGGTCCTGAGTAGCTGGGACTACAGGCGTGGGCCACCACGCCTGGCTAATTTTTTTTGTATTTTTAGTAGAGATGGTGTTTCACCATGTTGGCCAGGCTGGCCTCGAACTCCTGACTTCATGATCTGCCCGCCTCTGCCTTCCAAAGTGCTGGGATTACAGGCGTGAGCCACCGCGCCTGTCCTAGAAACAACATTTATAACTCAAGATCATTTACTAAAGGTTTATGCTTCAATTTTTTTCCTTTTTTTTTGTAGTATTATTTTTTGAGACAGGGTCTCGCTCTGTCACTCAGGCTGTAGTGCAGGGCACCATCATGGCTTACTGCAGCCTCTACTTCCCGGGCTTTAGCAATCCTCCCACCTCAGTCTCCCAAGTAGCCGCAACGACAGGTGCACACCACCAAGCCTGGCTATTTTTTGTATTTTTGGTAGAGAGAGGGTTTCACCATGTTGCCCAGGCTGGTTTCCAACTGCTGGGCTCAAGCTATCCACCCACCTCAGCCTCCCAAAGTGTTGGGATTACAGGCGTGAGCCACCACGCCTGGCTTTATACTTCAATTTTCTAAAATAAATTATGGAGTTAATTTCTGACTTTCACACTTAACTATATTCTTTTATGATTTGGGCTCTTTCAATTAGGTCTAATCCCAATTTTCATGGAAGCATTAACAGAAAAGCCAAAAGGGGAACAATTCCATCAGCAAAGAGCTGGCTTTACAGTATACGTTTTCCATTTGATTGTAATTAAAATAATTTTTGGCGTTGACTATTTTGGGATATCATTAAACATATTTTCTTCCTTAGATGACTTTGGTGAAAGTAATATTTACCCACTTCTCCATCGTCTTTTTCCTTAGATTTTAACCTTTGAGACCAAGAACCCGTCGGAATTAGCAGAACGTTTGCGCTCTGTTTGTGGGAATCAGAGCAATGCCTATGCCCGGCTGCTGGAATACCGCCTGAATGCCTTGCGAGGACTGTGGAATGCCCAGCGCCAGCTGGCCTTAGAAGAACAGCATGAAAGGGAAAGTTCAGGTGATGAGGAAACTTTGGCCCTGCTCAAACGCCAGGGCTTGTTGCAGCAACCTGAGCAAGCGCCCTTCACATCGAGGATGGGGCTCCTGCTGGTCTTCCCCCTTATTCAGTCCCAGAGTAGAACAGACCCCTCTCTCTGTAACATAACTGCTGAGGTGCTATTGAACTGCCTTCGTGACTGCCAGCCTTTGAGCTTGACCAAGGAGCCTGCTGACTGTCTCAATGGAATTGAAACTTTGCTGTGCTCTTGGCTAGAGGAGACTTCTGACACAGGCCGACACATCCCACATAAGCAAAAAGAAAATGCTGCTGCTGCCCTGGTGGCTTTGGCTTGTGCCAGGTAAGGAAAATCGAATGTATCATTTGGTGACCTTGTGACTACTGCCACCTGGGTTGGGTGAATGAAGAAGAGGCCAAGTATATTTGATAGAAGTCTTAACATTCAGAAGTCCTTCTTTGCTTTCAGTATTGAATTTCACAGCCTTGACAGTGCATGAGATGCTTTCACCAAACTTGGCACCAGGTGCCTGAGTTGGAACCAAAGTTCATGTTTTCTGTTTCTGGTATACCATGATAACATCTTAACCAGCAGAAAATGGAGAATCAACCCTTGACATATCTAATTGTCCCTTAGATGGTTAGTGTTTTACATCAAGTAGTTAGCAGAGGATGTTATGTCTACTTCTCCTAGGAGGATGGTCAAAACTTTATAGAGCTATTAATTTTTCATACCTGTCTATAAGAAGTACATCAGCAAGCTAGTGGGCTATTATTCACCTGGACTCAGTCACAAAATTGGTCACAAATTATATTTTTGGACCTAATACTTGTTTTGATCAATTTAATTGGAAGATTTCTCAGTATATATCTAGATTTAATAGTAGTACACATGGCTGGACGTGGTGGCTCACGCTTGTAATCCTAGCACTTTGGGAGGCTGAGGTGGGCAGATCACTTGAGGTCAGGAGTTCTAGACTGCCCTGGCCAACATGGTGAAACCCTGTCTCTACTAAAAATACAAAAATTAGCCGGGCGTTGTGGTGGGTGCCTGTAATCCCAGCTACCTGGAGGCTTAGGCAGGACAATCATTTAAACCCAGGAAGCAGTGGTTGCAGTGAGCCAAGTTGGCGCCACTGCACCCTAACCTGGGCAACAGACCAAGACTTTGTCTTTAAAAAAAAAAAAAATTGTATGCTGTTCTTCATGTGCAAGTCATCAACCCACTATCAATAGGAAATATGCTTGGAGTTGCTTTTCTTTTTGCTTTTCTCTCTTTTCTCTTTTCTTTTCTCTTTTTTTTGAGACAGAGTCTCACTCTGTCACCCAGGCTGGAGTGCAGTGGCATGATCTTGGCTCACCACAACTTCCACCTCCCGGATTCAAGTGATTCTCCTGCCTCAGCCTCCCAAGTAGCTGGGATTACAGGTGCCCAACTAATTTTTTTGTATTTTTAGTAGAGATGGGGTTTCACCATGTTGGCCAGACTGGTCTCAAATTCCTGACCTCAAGTGATCCGCCCACCTCAGCCTCCAAGAGTACTGGAATACAGGCATGAGCCACTGTGCCTGGCCTATTCCTCTCTTTTTTTTTTTTTTTTTTTTTTTTTTTGAGATGGGGTCTTGCTCTCAAAGACCAGGCTGAAGTGCAGTGACATGATCTCAGCTCACTGTGATCCTCCCACCTCAGCCTCCCGAGTAGCTGGGACTACAGGCACCTGCCACCATGGCTGGCTAATTTTTTGTATCTTTGGTAGAGACGGGGTTTCCCCTTGTTGCCCAGGCTGGTCTCAAACTCCTGAGCTGAAGCAATCTGCCGGCCTTGGCCTCCCAGAGTGCTGGGATTACAGGCATGAGCCACCCTGCCCGGCCTGGAGTTGCTTTTCTAGGAATTTTATACATTCTTCTACCCATTGACCCGTATGATCACTGGCATCTGTTTGTGAGAAAGAAGTTTCACTACCTTTGTTTTCCAGTAGACTAATTGCCTAGAGAACAGTTAGGACCACAGCCTGACAGATTAGTGTCAGTATTCTGTCTGTCTTCCGTAGAATTTTTTCCTTGGTTGGGATCTTCTTTCTTTTAGCCAAACATCTGTGGGAGAATTCTTCTTGGATAATTATGAAGTTCTTAGTTATAAGTCTTCTTGCCCTGTTTTTCTCTGTATAGTTTCAAAGTTGACCTTCAAATGATTGAATCTCAAGGGTTTTTTTAAGGCAAAATGGCACCAGTGTTTATTGTAAGTTTCTTTGCTCTGAGCAAGCTGTCATAGCCTAGTTTTAGATCCCCTAAAACTGTGGTTTGTGAATCCTGACATGTGCTTAATTCTAGAGTCATTGTGTGGTACTGAAACAAGTTTCCTTGTAAAGGCTTTATATTGGATTGATTTATTTTCTGCATATGCAGAGACAATTTCAAGTCCAAGATCTGTTATCACTGTGCAAATTCCATTTGAGAAAATGTGCTTTTAGACAGTACTATCTTTAGACAGATTTAGGATGTTAGGAATAATTATCAACTCTTTAGTTTCAAACAGTTTAAGTTATTAATTGTTGGTTCATAAAACTCACATTTTTATTGTGTACCCAAATTCAGCCTATACCAAAAATAGTTATTGAACTTACTTCCTGTGCTGGACATTCTAAATTTCATTCAGCAGAAATGTTGAAATGGATGTATTTATTTATTTATTCTTCTTGGGTTTTTTTTTTTTTAACATGGTTCCTACATTTTATTGCCAATATCATGTTCTGGACTTCAGAAGTCATGTGCTTTTCAGTGTTAGATCATCTTACTAAAGTTATTAGTGGCATATTATTGAATTTTTGGGTTGATGCTCTCAAAGACAAAGTAACCCTTCCCCAAAATTATTATGAAGATTATTCATTCAACCAACTAACATTTATTGAACATTTCTGATGTACAGGAATCTTGCCCGGTCTTAGGGATATAGTGATTCTAGGTTTCTTACCTCACAGAGCTTACGGTTGAATGGACTCAGGGTAAGTCATTCTGCAAAACCTTATTGCTCACTTACTGCACGGAAGGCATTCTCTTGGTGGTAGGGATACAGTGGAGAGCAGGTAGACCGTGCCTAAAATTGCAGAGCTTACATAGGAGTGAGGGAGGCAGACAGTGAGCAACAAATATAGGTAACAGATCATTGTAGAGAGGAATATTCACTATAGGAAAAGACAGAGAGATATTTTGATAGAGAATGACTGTGGAGGTGGAGAGCAGCATTAGCTGGAGATGCCAGGGAAGGCCTTACTGAAGAGATGACACTTGAACTGGGCCCTGGATGATGAGAAGCAGCCAGTGGCAGAGAGTTCCACGTAAATGGAGTGGCGAGTGACAAAACTGACATTATTCTTGTGCTTGGGGTATCTGAGGGGACAGCACAGTGGGCAGGGTTTCTGGAACGTGATAGTAGAAGGAGAGGGGCAGGAGATGAAGTTGGCAGGGCCCAGATCACATAGGGGTTTGTGAGCCATGGAAGGACTTTACATTTTACTCTTAAAATCTGATTGAAGGCTGGATATGGTGGCTCACATCTATAATTTCAGCACTTTGGGAGGCTAAAGCAGGAGCATCTCTTGAGGCCAGGAGTTCGAGACCAGTCTAGGCAACATAATGAGACCCTGTCTCTCTTTTTTTTTTTTTTTTTTTTTTTAAGACATGGTCTCATTCCGTTGCCTAGGCTGGAGTGCAGTGGTGTGATCATAGCTCACTGCAACCTTGAACTCCTGTGTTCAAGCAATCCTCCTGCCTCAGCCTCCCAAAGTGCTGGGATTACAGGTGTGAGCCACTGCACCCAGCCAGACCCTGTCTCTTTTAAAAAAACAAATCTGATTGAATCTGGCAGGTAATAATTCCTTAGAGTTGGTTAATAGTTCTAAACTTTCTAAATGTTAAAGGTTTTGCTTCTTTATTTTAAACCTCACTGTTCCCCAGGAAAGTGTCCCTGTTGGGCAGATGAAGAAGCAAAAATCCATAGGAGTTAGGTGACAGGACTGAGATTGTGCAGCTGATGAGTGGCAGAGCCAGGTTTCAGAACCCATGTGTCCCGATTCCAACTTGTTTTTATACTCTATCTGCTGCCTCCTTGCCTTCTATTAATGCTATTCTTTTGTTTTTATTCTCTGAAACTAGAGATAGTGAAAGGGGCAATTAACAGGAAGACTCTAGGCCTACTTGGTTCTGCGTTAGGTATTCCATTTCTATTGGCGTTTAGGCATATGATACCCAGCAATTAAAGCCTTGGCTAAGAGACTAAGGCAGCAAGTCGAAGTCAGCCCGTCAGATACAGGCGATCATTTAGTTCAGGAAGTGTTCTTGTGGTGATTTGTACTTGGGATGCGGCCAGGTAAGTCTTGTGCATCTTAAAAGCACCTTCTTTTAGATCTTGCTGACCATATGACAGACTTCCCAGAGCCTTGAGTCTTGGAAACCACAAGGAATTCAGGTAGCGGTGAGCCCTGTTGCAAGTATTACAACTATGTGCAGTCAGAGGGATACAGAAGGAGCATCTCTCAGCACAGAGCATTATTTATTTGAATATATTCTTTTTGGTCATATTTAATGTGATGGAGTTTAGTTAGCTGTTTTTCCAAATGAATGAACTTAGCAAAGATTTTAAAATCAAGCCTGGAAATACTGTTAGACTTTATGATCCTCCAGAGGGTGACTTGGTGATATAGTAACCAAGCATAATAGCCACAAGTTCTTTGTGCTCGAGCCTTATGTTTTGAACTTTTATGCCAGGGGAAAATTGTTTACTTTTCCAAATGCAAGGAGAACTTCTTCATAATTGGCATGGTGTTGTTTTCATTGTATCTTTGTGTATGAGCCAATGGTGATAGTTAATAATCAAGTATTTTTTTTACAACACATCATCTGACCAGCAGAAGCAGAGAGACACATTTTGGAACTTTTCCATGTGGTTAATTAAATTAGCATTAATGACCTAAATTATTTGATTTTAAATTTTGATGATTTACTGTTCCTTCCTTTTATTTTTAGGGGATCATTGAAAACTTTCGTCCACACAGTCCATCTATTACAGAAACAGACGGATCTAGGGTCCCTGCCTGTAGCTGATGTGCTATATAGGTAAGTTGTCACTTTGTATCCTTACCCTCCTTCCAAACTAGGCAGATTTGTGCCAAATGCTTCCTTTATTAAGTAGATTGCTAAACTCTTATCAATTAGTGATTCATTTTAAAATAAGTATAGACTCATATTTACCTTCTTAAGAATTTTATTTTTTATCTTTCCTTTTTGGAAAGTTTTTAGAGCATGTTATTTTTCATTATTTTTTAGTTCTATGTCTTTAAAAATGCAATAGCTGGTGGGGCATAATAACTCATGAGTGTGGTGGTGCGTGCCTGTGGTCCCAGCTACTAGGGAGGCTGAAGCAGGAGGATTGCTTGAGGCTAGGAAGCAGAGGTTACAGTAAGTCGAGATCACACCACTGCACTCCAGCCTAGGTGACAGGGCGAGACTCTGTTTCAAAAAATAAAGATGCAATAGCTTATAATGAATTCTGATGCAAATTTTGAGATGATAATATATTAAGGTATAATGAAGAAAGTGAAAATCATTCATAATCTCATTACCCAAAGATAACTACTCCTAACATTTTGGTACATATGCTTCCTAATTCATAACCCACTCTGTCTCTCTGTCACACACAAAAATACACATAAAATAGTATATTTTACACACAGATATAATTTTTATAAACATAGCTTCGTAATTTTTTAATTTAAAAATATTGTAGCAGGGCGTGATGGCTCATGCGTGTGATCACAGCACTTTGGGAGGCCAAGGCGGGAGGATCACTTGAGGTCAGGAGTTCAAAACCAGCCTGCCAACATGGCAAAACCCCATCTCTACTAAAAATACCAAAAAATTAGCCGGGCGTGATGGTGAGCCCCTGTAGTCCCAGCTGTTTGGGAGGCCGAGGCAGGAGAATGGCATGAACCTGGGAGGTGGAGCTTGCAGTGAACCGAGATCACGCCACTGCACTCCAGCCTGAGTGACAGAGCGAGACTCTGTCTCAAAAAAAAAAAAAAAAAAAAAAAATTAGCCGGGCATTGTGGCAGGTGACTGTGGTCCCATCTACTCTGGAGGCTGAGGCAGGAGAATCGCTTGAACCCAGGAGGTGGAGGTTTCAGTCAGCTGAGATCGCACCACTGCACTCCAGCCTGGGTGACAGAGCGAGACTCTGTCTCAAAAAAAAAAGAAACATAAATAAAAAATAAAAATACTATAAATGTCTTTTTTGAATAATATTTGTATAAAATATTATACATCTTAGTTTTAAAATTTTGGTTTCTACTCTTTGGGGTAGCAGGTATACTTCTTGCTGAAATGGATTGTCTCAGTGTCTTTGTGATTTTCTTTCTCCCCCATATAGGCTGTTGCTTTTGGAAGGGGGGCCTGGATCTCCCTCCTGTTTGCTTGGGGGCAAACACATAGTATCATGGGGTTATGAAGACATGTTGCCTGCGCCGGATAGCAACACTGGCTCCAGTTCTGAAAATAAAGGTAATGTAAAAGTTTTTGTCCTGTGATTAATAGTAAGATGTAAATAAAGAGGTTTTAGATCACTGTAGCAAATGATATGGCTATAACTCTGTATGTTCCTTTTAATTAAGAGCTCCAGATTTCTATTCAGTATGTTCATTGTCTGCTTTATCAGTAAACGTATAAAAGCTGATACTGGTGAGGTAAGAAAATGGATAGGTTTTATTATCACAAGGAAAAGATATCATCCATACACTCTTGCCAAGGAGCCATGAATTACTTAAATTGGCTGCTGGATATTTGAGTTTGGGTATGATAGCCTTAAGTTGAATTTTTTTGTCTGCTAATAGAATATCAGGTCTTACTGCTTGATAATATTTCCTTTAGTAATTTATTGTGTGTGTGTTAATGAGCCCTCCTGTCCTAAAAGCAAAAAATGAAGAGGTTCAAGGGAGCATGAATTGTTAACATCTACTTTAAACAAATAAGCTAGGTTAAAATGTTTTTACAGAGCTTTACAGTATTACATGTCAGTTTCTTACATTATCTCAACAAAAATGGCAGAAGCTCTCTTAACTGACTTGGCAGATGGGATAGACCTCTCCATTCACTCAGTAAAATGTCTAGGCTGCTGCCCTGCCGTGGCCCACTGAACCCACAGGGCTGGTCAGCTCTGCTCCCACCAGCGGAATTGCAGGCTTGCCAAGAGGTAGGCTTGCTCCCAAACCAGTTTGTTAATTGTAACTGGTACTTATTATTGTGATTTTATCATTAAATCTTACATAACTGATGAAATAGGAATTTTAAAAAAACCCAGGAAATAGTTGCCATTAAGAAGTTGAATGTTTTAGAAAAACTCCACGAAGTGAGTCTCTAAGAAACTGGTGTTCATCAGGTGTGGGACAGAGAGTCTGTTCCTCCCTCCCTTTCATTTCCCACTTTCCATGGGGCAGCCTTCCTGGGCAACCCCACCAGCACGGAGGAGAATCTAAGCGGCAGGCCCCCTCGCATCTCTCAGCCCAGGGCTTGTACCTTTCCATGGTCTACCATTTCTTCTAAACAGGCATGAGAGTGTGTGGAGAAGAAGCGGCAAGGCTTTTAAATGTGATTTATTTCCTTCACTAATTCAACTAGAGTCAACAGGAGAGGGAGAATGCCTGCAGTACCCAAGAAGTTCTCAGACATTATCGGCTCCAACTTACTTCTTAATATAGAACTAAAACTTCTTTCTTGATTCTCTCCTTTTAAAAAACTCCATTTGGTATCTCCCTTGGGGTAGTTTCTCACTGAGGAGGATGGCATTAAGCTGATCTGTTTGCTTTCATTTTCCTGAACCTTTGGTTTTGCATCTAGGGAGAAATGGTTTTCTTTTTTTCTCTCTCTCTTTTTTCTTTTTCTTTTCTTTTTTTTTTTTTTTTGAGATGGGGTCTCGCTCTGTTGCCCAAGTTGGAGTGCAGTGGTGCAATCACAACTGCAGCCTCGACCTCCCAGGCTCAAGCAGTCCTTCCACCGTAGCCACCTGAGTAGCTGGGACCACAGGCATGCACTAACATGCCTGGATAATTACTTTATTTATTTATTTATTTATTTATTTATTTATGTAGAGACGGGGATCTCGCTTTGTTGCCCAAGCTGGTCTTTAACTCCTAAGCTCAAGCCATCCTCCCACCACCTCAGCCTCCCAAAGTGCCAGGATTGTAGGTGCGAGCCACGGCGCCTGGCCTGTTTTTCTTATATAGTTTTTAGACTAATTTATGTAATCTTTTTTTTTTTTTGAGACAGAGCTTCGCTCTTGTCGCCTAGGCTACAGTGCAGTGGCGCGATCTTGGCTCACTGCAACCTCTGCCTCCCAGGTTCAAGCAATTCTCCTGCCTCAGCCTCCCTAGTAGCTGGGATTACAAGTGCCCACCACCATGCCCGGCTAATTTTTGTATTTTTAGTAGAGATGGGGTTTCACCATGTTGGCCAGGCTGGTCTTGAACTCCTGACCTCAGGTGATCTGCCCGCCTCGGCCTCCCAAAGTGTTGGGATTACAGGCATGAGCCACTGTGCCTGGCCACAGTGTAACTTTTAATATTGAAACATTCCACATTTGACTGATGTTGAGAGAATACTATAATAAGCCCTGTGTACTCATCACTCAGCTTCAACAAGTATCCATTCCTGGCCAATCTTGTTTTGTTTGTCCTTTTCACTTCTGCCCCTCGACAGAGCCATACCCAGAAGGCCTTGGGCCTTAATCTAAAAATTGATGAATAAATGTAATCTATAAGTTTTAAATTAAAATGTTTAAGGTGTGAAATTAATGTTTTAAAAATGGTTACCCACTTTAACAAATTTTTTCATTGAGGAACCAATAGGTACAGGTCCCAGTTGTCTCAGATTAGTAGACTGAATTTTTAAGCTAACAGCATTTTTAGTACTAATTTGACGGTGTGACATTGCATTTCCTCCAGCTAATATGGCATGCTTCAGGTGGAAAGACTCCACTTAAACATAGTGAGCAGAATGATTATGAAAATAAACAATGAAAGTTTTATCCATAAGCTCTATTTTAAGGCAAATTCTTTGGAATTTGAGTTACTAAACCAATTACCATCATATAGAGAGATACTGTTTTAGATTGAGGAAGACAGAGCTAAGGGGAAACATATTGCTGTTTTAAAATAGAAAAGATATGAAACTTTTGTGCTTTGTCCCTCCAGAGACTAAAATTAGGATCTCTGAATGGAAAATCTACAGAGGCAGATTTTAGTTTAATGTATATCATTAGTATATTAACACAATTTCATTTGCCATTTATGGAATACTAGCTTTGCATCAGAGAGCAGTATAGATGTATTTACCTCTATTATCTCATCTGGCCATCACTGTAACCCTTGAGGTACATATTATTATCCTCATCTTACAGATGAAGAAACTGACGTTCAAAGAGGTTCAGGGTCACTTACTGAGCTCATAAGAGCTCATGCCTCTCTTACTATGCAATTACTAATAAAAGTGTTGTACTGTATTCTTAGTCATTTCAAATTAGAATTATGATTAGTCATTTCAAATTAGAATTAGGAATGACTTGACTAAGTACAAGCTTTTCAAAAAAAAAGAAAGAAAAACATTTGGCGGGCTAAACCACATTCCCCTGCTGGTAACTGTCTGACCATATCTTGGTCTCTGGTCCACATGCATTTTGGATGTTTGATTTGGGGGCTCAAGCCATCTTCCCTGAAAGTCACATTGAAGCTCTTATTTTAGAAGTGAGAAGTAATCTTTCACTCAACCTCCTAATGGCTTTTTCATTAGAAAAAGCATGTTTATAATTTCAATAGAAAAAACATATATATAATTTACCTGTGAAAAAACGATTTCAGATGCTGACTTGGGACGCTGTCTCACGGCAGATGGTCTTTACCTGTATACTACTAACTCAGTTGGAAGAGGAGTAAGCAAATTGGGATCTGGATTACATGGTACTCTCAGGTCAGTTGCATGGAACTTCCTGAATGATTGGGCTAGAACATTATCCTCCTTACATAAATCTCTGAAGAAGACACTGTGGGTAGATTCCAGCTCCCCATAGACTAGTAACTAAATAACAAGTCTGAACTAATTCAAATAATTCCAATCTTCTCTTATTGCCACCTTTCCCCATCTTGTTCTGTTAATGCATTTTAGCCTTGTTTTGGCCCAGAAGAGTTTGGTAGCCCCAAGATCATTGTTTCCAGCCAGAAAGTCCTCCATGATCAGTATTTTTGTAACAATATCAGTGACTTCTCCATGTTAATAAGTGGACATTTTTCTACTTAAGTCTCTTTGAACTTGGGTTTGACATTGGATTAGCAAGTGATTTTCAGTTGGGATATAAGATCTATAAACTGCTGCCAAAAGAAACTACAGTTTGAAAGCCTTGTATACATTTAGATCTTTTCCCCCAAATTTTTCTCCCCTCTAAGTTATTGTGGAAAGTCAATATTTGCTATAGTTTGGCAGTCCTGAAGTTAATGTAATACATTCACTTTCCTTCAGATGTTTTACATACTTACTCATTTTTTAAAATTAGGTCGAAAATGTTGTTTGTGTCTGTTGTAGCTTGTGTGGGGTTTCTGACATAGCCAGGTGATTCAGCCTGTGCTCCATTTCATTCCACAGAGGTTTTGTGTACTGCCGGAACGAGGAGTTGGAACCAGGATGGGTGGCTTTTGGCAGCGGCAGTCTTCTCCACCGGCCTGTCTCTTTCGATAATAAACCTCACTCCCTTTTCCAGGTCATTGACCAGAACACCCTTCAGGTAAACAGAAAACCAAGGCATTTTTAAAACATATTTTAGAGGCAATAAAGAAAGTTCCTATATCATCAGAAGTAATAATAATACAGTTGATATATTTTCCTCCCAGAGTGGCATCCTTTTAATTGTTATAGTTTGGGCAT